>NC_000004.12:93769865-94072896 GCF_000001405.40 Homo sapiens
ACTGTAATAAAAATGATCAGAATTTTCTCTTCACCACTAGTGACTGCCTCCTTCTCTACTCATGTAGACCTATAGAAGCTCTTCGATGGCCCCAAGCTTATCAAATCCAAAATCCACATCATGAAAACATCCAAATTTCAATGTTTCTCCTTTACTGTGGAGTCAGCTTCACTTCAGGGCCATATTAAATTTTATCTCAATATCTGAAAGAATAATTACAGAATTACACATATCTCTTTTATAGTGGCCTGAGCATTGTTTTCATCAAGAAGTATGAGACTTATAAATTAAAGAAAATCTGAAGCTAAATCTTGATTAATTTATCTTATTTCCATTGGACTAAAGGGGTGAAAATGTTTTAACTGATGAAGTCATATTCACTAAAGCTTCACAAATTGAAACAAAAACCAATCTGAATTTGCTAAACAATTTTATGTGATGGATAGCTTCAAAGAAACTTTTAAAGTTTCTATAACTAGAACTTGGCTGACTAACTGATGCCTGAGGCAACTCCTGAAAGGATCTACTTTAATGCACAATAAATACGGCTTCTCATTTGCATATGAATTGTTGCACATTAATGTGTTTTTTTCAAACAGGGTGATTTCAAAAGTAGTGTAAGGATTCCTTCTTATCACCTTATATGCAAAATTGATCAGCAGCATTTATAAGGAAAAGCTTGGCTTTAGCAAAGATGAATTTTAGCTTCCTACCTGTGTGAATGAGCATACATTCTAAATATGTGAAGAATGAATTATAAATTAATCAAGTCACATTGTAGTGTTTTCTTTGTGGAATAAGCTTCTGGTATCTCCGTTGACATTGATTCAATGCAAAAGACCACATTAATGCAACATTATAGCTGAGACTCATATTTTTAAAAATCTGGAAAGTAAGGACTCCCCAAGCTCCTTATATTTTGAATTACTCTATATGATATTAAAATTTTGCATTATTATATCTGTTGATGGATGACTACATTACAGTTGCTGTGGGAACCATAAAATTATATGTCTCAATCCTCTAAAGTCTCAGTGATAATATTGCATTAATGGATATTTTTTATTGAATTTTGAAATAAGAAGGGAGAAGGAAAAACAGTGATGCACATCAAAATATTTTTCACTGAGGAACACTATAATAGCACAATGAAAAAAATACATGCTCCATTCTAACTTGTGACAGCTAATCCAGATCCTATGAAAAAATATTTTCTCCTCTTATGATTAATAGATATCTTAAATTCTCATAAATTTAATTTATTGAGTTTGGCTGTAAATAAGACTAATAACAAGGATAATTTTATTTCCTTCCAGTTTTATTTCTCAAATATTGGGCGTTAATACTCACTTTTAGTGAAAAATATAAGGAACTTATCAATGGGTTTCAATTCCAAAAATCTGAGATTTTACTTATATTTTTGTTTATTAACTGCCTTCTTACCAAGACGCCATTAGCATAGCTTAAAACGTCTTTGGTTTTGAGGTCAGTTAGCATAAAGCTGGCCCTAAACTAAAGCTATCACTCACGTGCCCTGACTTGAAGGGGTCCCTAAATATCTCACTGACCTCACAGTATTGACTGATTCAGGTGCTAGATACCTTGAGTGCATAAATCCCTCAATTAGAAATTATTTTGTGTTGAGTATTGCTCTCTCTAAACAATCGCACATATCCTTGGCTTACAAGGAATAACACTTTAACAGTCACTAACACTTCAGTATGAAATAGCTTACTATATCATTTTTTTCAAGAATGGAAACTTAAGTTTAGGAGTAAGTGGTTGAAAGGAACAAAAATTTAACTTGGAATGAGACGCCCTGAAAAGGGAGGAAGCATGTATAAAGAAGAGGTGGGGGGTAGAGTTGCCAAAACCATACTTTCTATTGTTACAATTTTGCCTGGGTCTGTCTTTTATAGAATGGCAATCACCCATCAACTGCTTACATATCTTTGTAGTTGCATGTGGCATATGATCACTTTAAAACCTTTACTGCAAGAAAAATATTTATTGTAGATAATCTTATCTCAGAATTGGAATCCCCCAGAACTTAGCACAGTGCCTGGCTCATACTAGGTGCTCAATAAATATTTGTTAAATGAATAAACCCCAAAGTTCAGTTAATTACATGTTTGCTGAACTACTTTTTTTTTTTTAACCATCAAAGCTAGTACTGATGAGAACCTTATTTTCTTTTTCTTCATCTCCAGGATGACAAGGAAATTGACCTGGAGCACCTCCATAGACGTGTAAATAGCTTGTGCACAGATGACGACAGCCCCCATAAACAGTTTTCCACCTCGTCAATTGATTTGACCCCTCTGGACATTGACACTTTGCCAACACGACAAGCACTGGAGCAAATCAGTGATTTCAGGAACACTCATATTACCACAACAACCTTTATCCCAGAGCAGATCCAGACTCTTAGCCGCACACTGTCAGCTAAAGCTGCTTCTGGTTTCACTTTTGGCAACGTGCCTGAGCACCGAACTGGCCCTTTTAGGCACAGGGCACCTAATGGGGGCTTTTTCAGGAGTCCTATAAAAACAATGTCATCTATTCCTTATCAACCAACTCCTACCCTGGGGCTCAATCTGGGTAATGATCCAGACCGAGGCACCTCCATATGAGCATCAAACAAATCTCTTCACTGTTTCTTTTTTAGGACTCCCTTTGCAAGGAGCAACTGTAATATTGTGGGACTAACATGGATGTAACGTTTAAAAAAAAGATCAGGATTATTAGTAACAATTCTAGTTTTTTCCTCCCACCTTCTCCCTCTCCTCTCTCCTCTATGATTTTCTCTCTTTCCCCCTCCCTTCCTGTACATTTTCCTCCACTTTTTTTCATTACTCAACTTGTTCCCCAAGAAGGTAGTGTACTAGGATCCTATTAGTCTGCTTTTCATATACTGTACATCAAGTATAGGAAATGTGCACTGAGTATACTAAAAGTATATGCAGGATTAATTTTACATAAAGGCCTCTTCTGTAACATTTCTCTATTTTTTGAAATACAATTGCAATAACTTCAGTCTTTTTACATTCTTCTGCTGCATCCATACAATGCTCCACTGCTGTTGAGTGTCCTTTAACTGTGGACCAAAGGCAACCCCTGCAGTGTTTATAAAACAATTTTAAGACCATTCAGGCCACATAAGATGAGAATGCAATTTTGTAGGATTACAAAAAAGCCATTAATATGCCAGTCAAGACTACAGTTAAAACTACTCTTGCACTGCAACAGTGCATATGACCTTTATGTGATTGTACAGTATTAAAAGTTTTTTCTTATGTACAGTAAACTTTATCATATGGCAGAAGCCTCTATTGTGTTAAATAAATTAGTATTTCATATATATACATATATATGCACCTATATAATGTGTATATATATAAAAAGGCAGCCATTGCTATTGCAATTCATTTAATAAAGCTTTAGTTTAAACAAAAGTATTGTATACAGGAACTATGTATAGTGCAGGGGTTCTTTTCAGTTAGAAAAGGCAGGTTGCTTTAATGTTATTCTGACTCGCATTGTTTGCCAACAGAAAATATTTTATACTTTTGTTATTAAAGCATCCAGGGCAATTTAATATTTGTTCCTAGATGTAACTCATTTGAATAGGTTTTGCATTTGTTATTCAGCAGTGTATAAAGCTAACCTTGATAATTTTACTTTTAATTAATTATCTAAATGAAAAATGCTATTAGCTGAACCACATCCACAACAGCACATAGAGCTCTAGAAGAGTTGAAACATAGATCATTGAAGGTTAAAAATCCTCTTCCAAAGCAGCAAGTCAATCAATACAATAATGATATTTGGGGAGGGGTGGGAGCCCTTAAGAACTATTGATGTGGCCTTAAATTACTGTCATTTATTATCCTAAAGAAGAAAACATAATAACCATAATGGGCTCTCAACTCAACTCCCTTTTTTATTTAGTTCTATTTGGAGGAGTTATGTATTTTTTACATTAGTGCCAAGTATATAGAAGGATGACAGCAAAAACAGTGCCTCTTTGTGCACAATCCTTTTAAAGTAGCATTCTTACTTGTTAGAAATGTAGAATGAACTTTGTTTGTAATCCTTAAATTAAAATGTGGTAAGTAGGAAGCAAGAACTTATTCTGTGTTTTTACGCAGCCATACACTTACTTTAATCTAACTCATTCTGTGGCTAGGATTGATATAGGAATCAACCTATGTGATTTGCTTTAGGAGAAATTAAAAGGTATATTCTTAAGATATATTATATTTTGATGCTAATTCTGTTCTGGGGAGCATCTTGTATTGTCACTGTTTTGTACTAAATCTTCAAATATTGTCTACTGTGTAAGGCAGAAAAATTTCTTATCATGCAAAAACCATTTTGTTTCCAGGGTAACAAGTAACTAAGTGCATGCACAACTTGTTTTCCCTTGTAACATTCATGATCTCATTTACAACTCTGATTTTAAAACAAAAAAATCTTTACAACAAGCTATATAGGGACATACCAGATGTTGCAGTGATTTTAGCTATCAACAAACTGTTAACCATGTACAATATTTAAAATAGGCTTATTTTGATGTATCGCCTATTATACAAACACACAAAACATTTTTGGAGGCCTCAGTTATGAGTGACAGAGCTTTCTGTGTATAATTTGTCTAAATAATTTGTCTAATAAAAATGTTTTCTAAACTTGCTCTCATACTATTGAAGTCTTAACTGTAAGATTTGAAAATGTTTACTCTCTCACAGATTGAACTAAATTTTTCTAAAAATTTATCTTGAGTTAATTAAAGCATAAATCACATTAAGTTTTACTGGCAGAACTATGCCAAAATGAATGGCTCTCTAAAACATTACTAAGTGATGTCTTAAACCAATGAGAGACTGCCTTTCTGCTATTTGAGACTATTTGAACCAACAATACATTTGTTTTTCTCTGTGGATGTCTCTGTGAGCACTTTTTTGGGAAAGATTTATCCTGTTTCATGTAAGCAATGCAACCATTATGATAATATCAGGATGAGGGTGTGTTACATCAAAAAAAATAAGAAAGACAAGAAAATTAAGGGTAATTATTAAACTTAGGATTTATTTCTTAAAAATTGCTTTGCTAGAGAATTATTCGTCATGCTGAATCTATTAATTTGGGAATTAATTTAGGTTCTAAGATTATTTCTAATAGTTTTCCTGCATTTGAACAATAATTTTAATTCTTCCAGCGTTTAACACACCTAAGGGATATATATCTGAAAATGTATTTTGAAAACATAATTTACTAAAAAAAAAAAAAAAATAGTTCTCTATTGTTCTAAAGTTCCATCCAAAATAATTCTTTGAATATTGGAACTAAGAGGAAATTTAGAGATCTAGACTGTTGACCTCATTTTACAAATCAGGGAAAATAAGATGCTAAGATGCTGTGATATGCCCAAATGTTTGACAACCTAAAATGTAAACTGGGTCTTCTTTTTTAAAACTCTGCCACCCTTCAATCACACCAACATAGGTCCTCATGGATTGTAAATATAGGCTCCACCTTCTCCTCTCACCAAGCCTAGGCTACAAATCTCTAGGATCCTTCCTTCCTTGTTTGGGACACATAGATCATCTGATTCCACTTTTACACATGGGAAAGTGAGTACCTCAGGTTATTTACCCAGGGCCATAGCTAGCAGCAAAACTAAGGTCGGTTCCTGTTTCTGTCTACACTTGGTTTTTTGGCCCATTGTTTGTCCTGGTTTGCAACACTTAGACCAACCTGGCTATTTCACTACAAGACAAAATACCTTATATCCAAGTACTTTTATTCTATTCAAATGTCCAATTTACCCCACTGGTGAATCATTAAGATATCTGGTATCACTGTACCACATCAGAACTTATGCACAGGCTTTGGTTTAATCATACATACTTAAAGTTGTAAGACTGCCTTCTTCCTCATACCATTAAACTACAGGCAATTTGTCATGTTCGTGATCATGTTATTTTTCATCTCTTTTAGTTTGGGATTGGCTATCAACTGAATAAATACTTTTAAAAATAGACTTTACCGAATGGTACTTTGCTTCATCAATTTAAATAAAAGATGGGAAGATCCATTTACCCTGCATGATACTTCTAAGACACACAATTGAATAACAAGTTATTACTATTTTATAATCAGAATTTTCCAATGGTGAAACACATTCTAGATTATAAGTATAGTAAATCATGCAGAGAAGAGATTATGTGCTGGTAAACATAGGTTTTATCCTTAAATATAAATGTGATGATGACTGATAAAGTACAATGGACTCACTAAAATTTGGCTTCCTTCCAGAGTACTTTTCTTTCAAAAAACAAATCTTATAGCCAACCCTCATGACCAAATATTAATAAATGATTAACAACTATGGCCATAATTATCATTTCAAT
Organism: Homo sapiens; assembly: GCF_000001405.40. Taxonomy (NCBI): domain Eukaryota; kingdom Metazoa; phylum Chordata; class Mammalia; order Primates; family Hominidae; genus Homo; species Homo sapiens. The sequence goes on from NC_000004.12 coordinate 93,776,282, forward strand.
GAAATTTGGTAGACACTCTGTCAACAAATATTTTAGAAGACACCCTCTTATGAGGCAGCATATGTGAGCTTCCCTAGGTAGAAATTACTTATCTGACACTGAAAAGTCAGAGAATAAAGCTATAATTTATAGAAGATTTGATAGATGTAATTCAATTCTACTAGTGTTAACAGAGAACCTATTATTTTGAAAGCCATTGTGCTAAACAGCTGGGCATGGCAGAAATGAATGTTTAGGAATGGGTCTGGGTGTGTTCCAACACTCATCTCTTTCCTGGCTCCATATCAACATGCAGGATACGGAGGCCACGTTACAGAATGAGTCACCCCAAACCAGCACAGTCTTCTTGGTTGGGTGACTGACTGGACCAATTCATCTTAGTAGTTCTCAAGCACCAATTGAAACTGTCTTCTTGGTTCAGACCACCTCCCCAAAGAAGACTTGGAAATTTACCAACATGCCAGATCCTGAAGCCAAATTTTCAAAAATGTGAAAATTCCTATAAGCCACAGAAAATTACTATCTAACCCTTCATCCTTATTGATACTTGCATACCATTCAGAGACTGACTCCTACCCTTAGGTGTCCTCATCGGCATAATGTAGACCATAACAACTCCTTTTCTATCCCTGCAAATCTAATGAGTCATGATAATTCAAGCTCTGCAATGTTTCAACTTGCCTCAACAGGACAAAACATAGTAAATCTTATTCAGGATCTTTTTCATACTGCAACTAAAACTCCGTGCTACCTTTCCTGTCATCTAAGACACAGGATGCAGTGTGGCCCATAAACCCAATGAATGTAAAGTATCCTTCAGGCTGCCCACCATGATGATAGCCTCCAACCCACACATACCTCCAGGAGACTAGAAACCTCATGGTTTTGCTTCATTTTATAGAGCTGCACAGAGGCATGGAACAGTTAAAGCACATAATGATTCAGCCTACCACTGGGATAGAAACAGATCAAGGAACTTGCTCTCATTTCTTCACCTGAATTTTTCAAATTCCTATGTCGTCAATAGTATTCATTTGCTTTGTTTCCATGTAACATTGATGACAAAACAAAAATTGTTCACATTTGAGAATTTTTTTCATATCTAAGAGCTCTATCTTGACTTGCTACAATTTAGGACTCAGTGACATCTTTTGCCTAATTTTGTATCATAGTTCCTAGAATTTCTTCAGAATGAAGAAGAGAAACTAGCTGTGTTATTCAAACATATTACCTACCTCATAGTATAGACATAGCTTGTCTAGCCTTCATGAGGAAGGAGGACCTGGTTTTCTTTTGGAGAAACCCAATACATTCCTACCTTGGAGTAAGCAACACATTTCAACAGTCTCAAACTATTCATGATGTGGTTGAAAACTCACAAAATTTTCAGCACATTAATTCTCATTAATTAAAAACTAATTAAGCTTTCCTAACAGCTGCTTTACAAGGAGAAACATATGTCACAAAAACAAAGAATGATACAGTGTCAGAACCAGAGAAGGGATGACAAACATTGCTTTTAATAAATATTTTGCCAGCTACAAGCTTTGAAATATGAGTAGAAGGCAAGCTTTAAATTGTTATATTTTATTATTAAATTGCTGCTACTGAAAAAGTTTAGGAATTAAGTAGCCTACTTAAGTGGCTGTTTTTAATTTTTAAAAATTGGACATCAGTATTATTTTTTAAACACACATAGATACCTATATGCAAAGATAACCCATAACTTCCTGAATTTGAAAAATAAACAAATACAGCTTGCATATTCGCTACACAAAAGATTCATAGTAGGAGACCTTTAAGAATTAGTTCTTCTGATATGTAATAAAATAAGATTCAATTTACAAAAATTCAAGTTATCTAAAGCTTTCAGGATCACAGCTATTTCCTGGAGGCAAGGGTATCAGTATCTATTTCATACTATGTAAAAAAGTATCTGATAGTTAATATTTAATTCCTTTCCAAAATTAGGTTGACTTTAAAATTAAATGCTAACCCTCTATTAATATCTGTTTACAAAAGTTATCTATAAGATTTATTGCTAGAAATAAAAGCACACTAAAATTAAGCTGAAAAATAGAAGTTCCATATGTTCAGCTTATCTCATTTGGCTTTTTTTTTTTTTTTTTTTTTGAGACAGAGTCTCGCTCTGTCACCCAGGCTGGAATGCAGTGGCACGATCTCGGCTCCCTGGAACCTTTGCCTCCTAGGCTCAGGCAATTCTCGTGCCTCAGCCTCCCAAGTAGCTAGGACTACAGGCATGTGCCACCACGCTCAGCTAATTTTTGGTATTTTTAATAGAGACAGGGTTTCACCATGTTGGGCAGGCTGGTCTTGAACCCCGGACCTCACATGATCTGCCCCTCTCAGTCTCCCAAAGTGCTGAGATTACAGGCGTGAGCCACCACGCCCAGTCTTATATCATTTGACTTTTTAGTGCTAGAAAGAGTAACTGAATAATTAACATGCTCAAGTACTTCTCTAGACACTGTTTTTTAAAAAAGCTTTGAACATACCTGATTGACATAGTTGACATGATGTATGTGATACAAAACTCTATTCACACATGATGTTTTTTTAATGAGTACAATTCTTTCCAAATCAACATATTAGGAGTTAAAATTAAAAATATGCAGTGCAGCAATATATACACATAATTGGGACTCTCAGATTGTAATTCTGCATGACTAAACATTTTTAAACTTATTTCTCACTCAGATTTCTCCATGGAAAGATCATAGTAAAAATGACCATAAACTGATTACCATATGTATGAAAACCCCTCTCACATGTACAGCCTCCAAAGTTTTTGATGTGTCCAATGGCTCAATCACCAATCATGAATATTTTTAATTAGGTCTCTCTCAGCATCACTAAATGAAGTTTTAGATTCCTACTTCATAATAATCATTTTGTGTCTCTTTCCCTTTTTTTTTTTTTAATGAGTTTAGTACCTATACAGGAACTTTAGCAAGGCTTCAGGGAGAATATTGGGAAAAATACAATCACATAAGATCAATCAGTCCACCAACAAATACTTTCTGAGCACCTACTATTAGCACGGTACCCTAGGGCAGAGTTCTCCTAACTGATGTACCAAGGCAAGTGCCTGGGCCAGCTGTGCTTCTGGTGTACTGAAGCTTTGATCCTCTCATTTCCTCATGGTGGCCGGGGAGAGGGGATGACTAGGCTGAAATTCTTCCTGTGAGCAGCTCTGCCACCCAGCTTCTCCTGAGAAAGCTTCCAAAGTTGGAGAAACAAAATATAAACATTTGAAAAGTGAAGTAAAAACTCATCATATAAATAACATCAGAAGACATGAATATAAATTACACCATGTTGCAGAGTATGTTTGTCAAATTAGTGGTATAGAAAAAATACTCTATGAAAAGAGGAAAAGAATAACATAGGCTGCATGGAACAAGTGGAAAATTAGCCTAAGCACCAAGAATGTGGAAAGGTCAGAAGGATGCTTTTGTACCAGAGGTTACAGTGCAACCATAGGACAAGCGTTGGGAAGAATGTTCAGAGGCACAGTAGACCACGATGTCTGGAATATGGGCTTTGTGTCAGAGAGCAGCAAAAGGCAAAGTGTGAGTGAGATTGCGGGATGCCTGGAGGCTGAGCTGAAGAGAGAACACTACATCCTGTTTATTCACGTATTCAACATATGTTTACCCAGGCCCTGCTGTGTGCAAGACACTATTCTGTGTGTTGGGGATACACCAGTAAGCAAGACAGAAATTCATGCCTTCATGGAGTTCACAGTTAACTGAGGGAGACAGATAATAAGCCAGAAAGTAAGTGAAGGATTAGTCTATTGGGAGGTGGTAAGTGCTGTGGAGGAAAACAAAGCAAAAGAAGAACAAGGAGCAAGAAGGCCAGAGCAGAAGTGGGGATCTGCTATATTAAGTAAGGTGGTCAAAGGACGCCTGACTGATTAGCTGGCATTTGAATGAAGCTTTAAATGGACTGAGGGAGTTAGCCATGTTGCTGTCTGGGGAAAACGCATTCCAGTCTTTGGGAACAGCCAATACAAAGGCTCTGAGGTGAGAATGTCCTGGGCATGTCTAAAGAATAGCGAGACGATCAATTCAGCTGGATTGGAATGAGTGATAGGAGAAGGGCGCTAAGAGGTAACAAATGGCTCACATTACAAGGCTTTGTAGGACACTGAAGATTTGGGATTTTATTCTGCATGGGTTGGGAAACCACTGGAGTGTTTTGAACAAAGTAGAATGACATTTACTAGTTCCAGCAGGTTGATCACAAAGTCAGATATAAAACAGTCTTGGAATCATAACTGCCGACACCTTCCCACCCTCCTTTGGTCCTAAATATTTGCTACCATTTTAAGTAGAGTGCAATAGGAAAGTGGTATGGAAGTGCCAGCTGCTGGTCCTTGAACCATCAGAGAGGTACTGAAGCTGGGCTGGCGCTCACAGAGGCTCACAACCATGGAAAGTGTGAAAACCTCCGTCAGTGGCAGTGGGGAAACCACTGAAGATTTTTAACCAAGGGAGAAACAGGCTCTTAAAGGGGCAGTTTAGAAAAAGTAAACTGGTAGCAATTCATCAAATGAAATGAAGAAGAAAAAGAGGCCAATTAAAAGGGCTGGACAATAATTTCGGTATGTGCTGAACTTCTGAAGTAATCTAGAAAAGAAAGAAGATACAGAGCGTAGATAGGTATTGAAGGAAGAATCAAGAGAACTTGAAGGTTAACTGAATATAGAGTGTAAAAGAGAAAACAAGTCAAAGATGATCGATTTCTCAAATTCAGATGCCAGAAAGATGGATATAATTTTCCCAAAAAGTGGCAAAGTCAGAATATCTAGTTTGTTAATTTTACTTTTTCCTTGAATTAGAGGGCTTGGGGGAAGAAAGGATAGAATTGAGAATCATTTGTTTTCTTTCATTGGGAGCATGAATGATGAATTTTTAACAAGTGATGGGGAACTGAGGGATCATCTAGAGTCCATAATTTTTAAACTGTGCTCCCCAGATTCCCAAGGGTTTTGCTCAAGATTTATGGGGATGCCACTGGGCTGCGGTGAGGCCCACTGGGCTGCGGTGAGGGGCTGCGGTGAGACCTGCTGGGCTGCGGTGAGGGGCTGCGGTGAGGCCTACTGGGCTGCGGTGAGGGGCTGCGGTGAGGGGCTGCGGTGAGGCCCACTGGGCTTCCCTTACAGCACCTTTGCTTTGATTTCTTCATTTGCAGTGGGTCCCTCAGTGTCAGTGGGGGGTTGGTTCCCTCAGTGTCAGTCGGGGGTTGGTTCCAGGACCCCCCTCAGATACCAGAATCCAAGGATGCCCAGACCCTTATATAAAATGGTATAGTGTTTGTCTATAATATATGCATATAACATATGCAAATTCTTCTGTATAATTTAAATCACCTCTATATTATTTCTAACATCTAATACAATGTAAATGCTATGTAAACAGTTGTTATACTGTACAGTTTAGGGAATAATGACAAGAAAAATGTCTGTACATGTTTAGTACAGAGTGTTTTTCTGAATATTTTCAATCTGAGGTTGGTTGAATCCATAGATGTGAAACCCACAGATCCAGAGGTCTGACTGCATTTGACTTCCAGTTAAGATTTCTTTCACCCTCTGGATAATACATTACTGACAAATGAACAAAATCTCAAGTCAAATGTTTTCTGAGGCCTATCATAGCATTCAAACTTTGATTGTTAGATTACTCTTCCTTCCATTGACTTTGGATTGTATTAAAAGTAGTTCTCCGCTGGTTCTTCAAAATAGTACAGAAGAACCCTCATCCCTTTATCCCACATAGAATTTATCATGTTTCCCACATGGCGAATACTCAGAATTGACCAAACTGCCCTTCAATGTGGTGACAGTGACTCAAATCGCTATCTTGAAATAGGTCCAGTGTCTCCAAGGTCCTTAAGGACCTTGGCTTCTAGTGATTTAGACTCACTAGAACCAGGCAGCAGACAGACATACCTGAATGGAAATCCAAAATAAATGTTTCTAAACACAGCCTTGTCTTAGAAAACGAACAAACTAAAATTAGCCCAAACATTAAAAATACCTGCTATGTTCAAGCCAATATACTTGACACTACAAATCAAATGAAAGAACCATGGAATGAACTGTGTTTGTTTGCCTGTAATTGTATGCTTTTAGTTCCGAGTCTGCTTCAACGTGAGAGTTCAGAAAGCATCCACTAACACAGTTAAGAGTACTCTAAGAGACTAAGAGGTAGGTCTGAAATACTCATCATCACAAATCCTGTGACACCAATTCCACTAACACTTTAAAAGGTTAGCTTTTACCAAGCAGATGCCATTAGAAAGATGACTTAGATTTTTGTCCAGGATCTTGTCTACTGACTCTAACCAACTTTCAACACTGAGGCCATAATCATGGTCCACTTTTCAGAGGTCAAAGCTGATATCCCAATTCTAAGAAAAAAATATCGTATATCAAATATAAAACAAGAAATAAGCAATACGGGTTTTTATAAATTTAAAATAACTGTTAAAACCTGATTTCCCAATTATTTGAGATTATAATTCTTTGCTATGTACTCTTGCCTCACAGCCTTGCTTTTAAAATATAAACCATGAATCATACACACACACACACACACACACACACACACAAACTAATCTATCTTATAAAAGAGAATCACACACTAATTATGTACACCTGTTGCCCTAAATATCAACACAATGTAAGACTTTCAAAGTAATTTGCAGAGGCACATGTTTCTGGACTGCAATTAATAAAATATATGGCATATATCCTCAATAAGAATTATTTCATATGCAGGGAAGTTTAACCCCTTCTCATCTGAACAAGCAAGTCGCTAATTTCTGCTGCAATGTTTGTCCTCGTGGGAGGGAAGGCATGCTGACCAGGTGCCAGGCTCAGTGCTAGGCACTATGTAGGTGTTTCACCTGAGTCTCGTAATAACCCTGTAAGTTTGCTATTGTTGACACTAATTTAGCAGATTAAAACAAAACAAAAGTAAAACTCTGGAAAGTTAAGTAATTTGGTTGAGTTCACACAATTAGTAAGCGAGAATTCAAACTCACATCTCTCTAACTCAGAAATCCATGTGCTTTCCTCCTCAATGGGCTATTTCAGAATCAAGGCGAGATGGAGGTAAATGGTCCTTCTATATTCCTCACTGATGTAAGAGGCTTTGTACACTATGGGATCCATAAAAATTGACTAGTCCTCAGTAGCTACAAATATTTGTAATACAGAAACTACAAATGGTAAATAAAAACTCACAAAAGATGAATACAGATGAAGCATTGTAGGAGCTTAGAAAACACAAACAGATTCAGAGAAATACTCTGCCGGATTAGCATCTACAGAAGACACTGCTCAAATACCAGCACACCCACTCATGTCCCTCTTGTATTCTTTATTTATGCTAATGGTGGTGTTAGTGACCTTTCCAGTCTTCTCCCCTCTTGCTTAGAGTCCCTCTAATGAAAACCTTAGAAAAACCAACCCTTGGCCGGGCGCGGTGGCTCACGCCTGTAATCCCAGCACTTTGGGAGGCCGAGGTGGGCGGATCACGAGGTCAGGAGATCGAGACCATCCCGGCTAAAACGGTGAAACCCCGTCTCTACTAAAAATACAAAAAATTAGCCAGGCGTAGTGGCGGGCGCCTGTAGTCCCAGCTACTTGGGAGGCTGAGGCAGGAGAATGGCGTGAACCCGGGAGGCGGAGCTTGCAGTGAGCCGAGATCCCGCCACTGCACTCCAGCCTGGGCGACAGAGCGAGACTCCGTCTCAAAAAAAAAAAAAAAAAAAAAAAAAAAACCAACCCTTATTGAGTCCACTCGCATAAAGCTTTAGTACCTGGTCCTCTTTTTCCAGCCCTAATGCTACAAGACAAGTTTAAGCACATGCTAGCCTCTACCTGGAAGCCTTGTAGTAAGTCTCCCAAGCTTCACTCTTTTTAGGCTCACATTCCATCTACGTATCTTACTAGATGATCTTATTAAATTACTTGTCAGGTCATGCTGCTCCATGATTTATTTTTTTTCTGTGGTATTTCTATGGCCCACTAATTAATGACCAAGCGCCTCAGCTGAGATTCCTTCTGGCAGGAAGCACTAAGGCACCCTTCACAGAGAAGCAGCGTTTGAGCCAAGGAGGAAGGATTTTGACAATTGGAAATGTGAATGTAGACTGTAAAAGCAATGCACAAAAAGGAAATAGGAAAGTATCATTGACAAGTAGGAGCCAGAGAATAAGACTTTTGGCTTGAATCAGGAAGTCCTATGGAGACAGACAGAAGATGGAAAAAAAAAATTTGTTGATTTATTCAACAATTGTATTTTATATTTTCAGAGTCCTTTTTATACACACACACACACACACACACACACACACCACGGTATCGCAGAACATACAGACATGCAAGACTCTCAAAGCTATTACAGAAGAGATATCCTGTATATACCTAACTGTGACATAAGGCAAAGTATGATATGTTCCATAAAAGTGATACAATGTATTACAGAAACTGAAAGAAGGGAGAGAAGATGCTCTTCTAGGTATGCTTTTACAGAAATACAGCTATAACTACAGTTTAAAATTATATGTAAGTACTTAAAATAGTCCAGAGTATTTTGAAAATTCAGAGAACAGAAAGATCTCTTCTCACAGGCAATAGAGTATCTTCATAGAGAAGACAGTTTTGGAACTGAGCCTTGAAAGAGAATGTACAATTTTCACAGGTATAGACTAGAGAAAGACTTTTTTTAGGCAAAGAGAAAGATCTCATCCAAGTCACCGTGGAGGGTAACACAAAGCGTATTGAGAAAGATCAGATAGTTTGGCTGGAACACATGGGCCAGGAAAAGCAGGACAGAAGACAACCAAACAATAATATGACATCCAGCCACCTACCTAATGTTTGAGTTTCGTACCTTTTACAATTGATTCTGTTTTTGAACAGCTGTGAATATTGGAAATGTGACGGTGTTTGCAATCTACTGGGGAAGAAAGACAATTTAACAGGCAATGACAATAAATTGGAATAAGTAGTAATGAAAATGCAAGGTGATTTGCCACTCAGACCAGGGCTAGGAAAAGCTCCCTAGAGAATGGGATTCCAAGTTAGAACTGAGGGAGTATTGACCAATAGCCAGGCAAAGGAAATAGAGGTTTTTCAGATCATGTGACCAGTATAGGCAAAGACCTAAAGCCAGAGGGCACGATTTGTTCCAGGGACTGAAAGAAGTCAAGCTGATAAAAGGAAAATATCAAGAAAATTTTTAAGAAGGTATGGAGCAGGCCTTGTAATGCTTCATTAACCGTGATAAAGAATTTAATACAAATTCTTTAAGAAGTAGTGTTCCAGGCATCACTAAGAAGCCATTGAAGACTTTAAAGCGGTGACCTGATCATGTTCCTATTTTAAAGAATCACTCTCACTGCCCCAGGAGAAACTTCGGGAATGGGAAAAGACCTAAGAGAGGCAGACCAGTCAGAAACTCGTGTGGCAATCCACCTAGAGGAAATAGTCCAGTCCAGTAGTAAAGAGGTGGAAAGGAAGGAAAGAGGTGGAAAGATACTAGAGAGAGCTGTAGTGGGAATGGGGTCTGGGTCTGGGCTTGTAATTGACATCATGGAAGGTAATAAAATCATCCAAGGAATATGTGGGTCTATTTAGCGCAAAGTAAGTTCTGGACATCCAACACTGTGGAGGATCAACATTTGATCAAAGGACAAAAGAGTGTGTTAAATGGAAAAAACTTACTAGCTAAAAGAAATCTGGAAAGAAAACTATAACAGTGAATGGTCTCAGATGTGAAGAGAAGAGAGTATTTCAATAGGGAGTGGTCAATATTGTCAAGTGTTACTCAGGGAATAAGCATATCCATGAGAACCAGCAACAGATAGATCCTCAGGCCCCGGGTGAGAACAGTGTTCAGAATGGTGGACTAAAGCCAGACTGCAGCTGTTGGAAGAATAAGTGGAAGGACACATACACTGCTCTCCCAAGGAATATGGTGATGAAGGAGAGGTGAAGGCCAGGAAAGGAGCTCAACCTAGAAGAAATGGGATCCCAGGAGGGTGTTTGTTTGTTTCCAACGTAGGAGACACTTGAGCACATTTAAATGCAAATATGAAGGAGCCAGTAGAGGGCAAAGCTTGAGAATACAGTAACAAGCAGGGTTTTGAAAAGGTAAAAAGGAATGAGATCCAGGGTACAATTCCTCTGCAGTAAGAGAAGAGAGACATTTTTTTTGTAACTGCATGAAAGGCAAAAGTATGGATGTGAATGCAAATAAATTTCTAGGTTCAATTGCCTGATGTTTAGTGAGAATTATGTTGGATTCTATTTTCTACAAGATGGAGGAAGCAAATCACTGGTGAGAGTGAGAGGTCAGAAATTTAAGAAGAATAAAGAATAGAAAAGCTATCTAGAGCAACATGGCAGAACTGATGTACAGCTTTGAGGGCTCAGCTGAGGTTAGAGGTCATTACATTATTTTGGCCTGATCTGTACAGTTGCACATTTTTTTCAAATATCCTCAGCAGCTTCTAGTTAGCCAAGGGCAGACAGACTTGGATTTAACAGAGAGTTGTAGAGTAAGCAGTAAAATGACTACTCAAAGTGGTACTAAACAAAAGTCAATTTTAACGGGGTGTCCCAATGGTGTATGAAGTATAGTGAGAGGCCATTTTGATTAGAGTGTGAAAACTGTGCTTCATCTCATCCCCACAAATCTCAGTGGCTTGATCTAATAGATTCAGAACCCAGGTTCCTTCTATCTAGTTGCTCTGTTATTCCCTAGGACTTTGGAGTCCTCCACTGGGTCTTCTGCATCCAGTTGGCAGATGAGGTAAAGAGAGAACATGGAGGATTGTGGGAGTTTTAATGAACCTGACCCGGAAGTAGTGCACATCACTTCTGCACACATCCATTGGTTGTCACATGGCCACATCAAAACAGTTTTGTTAAGCATCTGACTTGACTACCATAGAGGCATAGAGTCAAGTTAGCAGGCTTTGTAATAATCTAAGCATGAAGAAATACAGGCTGAATAAGGCCAATAGTAGTAGAAATGAAATAAAAAGCACATTGGGAGAAAATCAACAGATTTGGTGATTGCTTAGATCAAGGATAATAAGCAAGGTTCTGTCTAAAGCACAGCATTAAAAAGAATTATGAGATCAAAATTCAGGATATGAGGTCCACTCTAACCACCCTGTTTAAAGTTGAGATCCTTTCCCCTAACATCCCCCATTTACCCTTACATGGCTCCGTTATCTTTCATAGCACAGGACACCTTCTACCATACTATATAATTTACCTACTGGTCATTGTCTTTCTCCTTCCACCATAATGAAAGAAAATTGAGGGGAGGAGTTTCGCAGTCTTGTTTATTACTCTTTCTTCAGTGCTTAAGACAGTGTCTGGTATATGAGGGTCATTGAATTACTGCTTGTTGAATTATTGAATGGAACGATTGATTAACAATGACCATTATGGTGCGGTCAAGTTCAAGTGGAAATACATTCATGTATTTACTAATTACTGGCTTAGCTATAGAAAGGAAAAGAAGACTCTGACATCATAACAGAGATTCAAGGTAGGATGTCTGGACGAATAGACTCAGGGAAAATATTTTGTATGTGGAGTGAAAAATGGTATTTGACTTTGGAAACATCATAATTGAGATGAAGGTAAAATATCCAGGTGGACATACTAAGCAAGACATTGACAATGTAACGCCTAAGGCTGGGCGCGGTGGCTCACGTCTGTAATCCCAGCACTTTAGGAGGCCGAGGCGGGTGGATCACCTGAGGTCAGGAGTTCAAGACCAGCCTGCTCAACATGGCGAAACCCCGTCTCTACTAAAAATACAAAATATTAGCCAGGCATGGTGGCAGGCACCTGTAATCCCAGCTACTCGGGAGGCTGAGACAGGAGAATAGCTTGAACCCGGGAGGCGGAGGTTGCAGTGAGCCGAGATCACACCATTGCACTCCAGCCAGGGTGACAGAGCGAGACTCCGCTCAAAAAAAAAAGAAAAGAAAACGTAAAGCCTAGGTTTTGGCAAAACATTGAGAATTGGAGTCTCAGGATAAGCAGATAATAAGAGTTTCAGTTCTCAACACATACATACAAAAAAGATAAGTATGAATATCTTAATTAGCTTAATCTAATAATTTCACAATGTGAGTATATATATACACACACATATGTACATATATATATATAAACATGACATTGTATACCATATGCATATGTGTAATGCAATTTTTGTAAATTACACCTTAACAAAACTGGAAGAAAAAAGATAACAAAAATCTCAGGTTAACAAGATGGGAAGTTATTCAATGGGCAATATAATGTTGAGTAACCAAATTATATGATCTAAAGGACGTTCAAGGGTAATTAATCTAAGGGTCTCCTATGCGGTAGAATAACTATCACAACTTAACCTGTCAAAAAATATTTCCATAAGGAATATCTTTATTGCAGCACTTCATCAATATCACTGCACCTACATGAAGTGTACCACATACACAGCAGAAAACCAACTTTTGTTTTCTGTTGGTTCTTCTGTTGAAAAATGATCACATTTAAGCCCTCTTGTGGTGGCTCTGCATAGAAACAGTCCTACCTCTTGAGGAGTCCTGAAGCAAACTACTCCTTGACAACACAATGGAACAACAAATCATTTTTTTATTATCCTGTATCTGTGTCTTTAAGGAACAGAGAAATAATCTCTTTTCTCCTCACAATCTCTCTTTTCTTCATATCCATCCCAGCTGCAAAGTGATAGCTAAAACACATGAATAATAGTAATACTGGTGAAAATCAGAGTCAACAAATACAAAAGCTTAGATAAATGACCTAAACACAGTGATATTATGTGTTTTATAATTCACATTTTCATCAGATAGCCATATAAATTATTTTAATTGCTATATTAAACATTTGAATTGCACCTAAATTAGCAATTGTGAAATTTAAAAGGAATAGAAATAAGTAGAACTGTTATAAATGTCATATCTTGTCTAAAAATACTTAGAAATATTGAAGACAATGTCTGAGCTCCACATCAGTTACTAATTAGGTGTTTTTGTTTAAGTAAAGCAATTGTTAATGTCCCAGTGACAACTTCAATTCATAGAATACTTGTTATTACCTAATATGCCAAATGGTAACTTAGCCAGTGACTCCAGCATAATCTTGGTCAAAATCAATTTTCCAATCCAGCATACAGCACAAAAAAGTACATTCTTCTAATATTTTTGGTGCCACACTTTTCCTTTTTATTCCCCATAAAGCATTTGACCCAACTTACAGTAAAACTTCCAAATGGCCTCATATTTTTCTATTCTCATCAGAATAATATGGGACATATCAAACATTTTTCAATTTTGAAAGAAAATTCAAGATCAGTTTATGAGTAGTTTCGGAGGCTAGTTGTTACATAAGATTTAAATATTCACATACTCCCTAAAATTGATAGAGTATAAATTTAAGAAATATATGAACCTCTAGAGCAGGAGTCCCCAATCCCCGGGCCATGGGCCAGTACCAATCCATGGCCTGTTAGGAACTGGGCTGCACAGCAAGAAGTGAATGGGGGTAAGTGAGCACTGCCTGAGCTCCGCCTTTTGTCAGATCAGCATTAGATTCTCATAGGAGTGTGACCCTATTGTGAACTGCACATGTGAGGGATCTAGGTTGGGCACTCCTTAGGAGAATCTCATGTCTGATGATCTGAGGTGGAACAGTTTCATCCCAAAACCATCCCCCTCCCCCCACTTCACCTCCTCCCACCCCATCTGTCACCCCCACCCCACCCCTACCCCGTGCCCATCCGTGGAGGAAAAATTGTCTTCCACAAAACCTGTCCCTGGTGCCAAAAAGCCTGGGGACCACTGCCCTAGAGAGAATTTCAGAAAATTCCAAGCATTCTAACAGATGCAATAAAAAAACTGAAGAGTTTCTCTGTACATAGCCAAAATATAAACATTTTTCTTAATAACTTTTTAGGACACGTTACAATAAAATGAGCATGACTAATTCAATATATCTACAATGATTACTTAGAATCTAAAATAGAAAATAGCGTAAAATAAAAGCAGTCTTGGACTTACAAAAAGTTCATTTCCAGAAGTTCACTTCCAAGTCATTTATTTTAAACACATAATGCATTATTCCAAAGGAAGGGAAAAGGTATACCTAATGGTTGCTTCTTTAGGTTAGCCCTCAAAAAATGTTATTTAACTATAATTTTTTTTTTTTTGTGAGACAGAGTCTTGCTCTGTCGCCAGGCTGCAGTGCAGTGGCATGATCTTAACTATAAAATTATTGAAATATTTAAAATAACATTTTTAAAAACTAATCTTTTGACAAACATGTTCATGTAAAAAGAGAAAACATAATAATATGAAAGAACATACAATGTTAAATGTTTTTAGAAGATCCTGAGAGAACAAAGTTAGTGGCAGCCCAAAGAAATTAGAGTCTAAAAGCCAGGGTTCACATCTGCCATTTGTCAGCTGTGCTACCCTAGGCAAGTTACTGAACGTCTCTGTGTTTCATTTTCCTCTCCCACAAAACAGAAGTAATAATAGAACGTTTCTCATCATATCTGAAAGGATTTAATGCTTTAATAGACGTAAAACACTTAGCACAGTTCTTTGTTCACAGTAGGCTCAAAATAGTGTTCTACCGTTATTATTCTGTACAAATTTCTGTTTAATATAATGCAAGTGGTAATTAAAGATTGATGCTGCAAGAGTGTAAAATACAATAAAAGCTAACATTTTACCTTCCAATCCAGTTCTAAAAGATCTTTCTTAGAGAGATGTACAAATGAAAACATATGTGTTAGTCACCCTGTTATTTAGCAATTTTGTGCAATCTTGTAAACCTGCAATATAAAATAAAAAAAAACCTTTAAGACATTCAGATTTTGGAAGTATACATTGTATTCCACTGCATTTAAAAGCAGACTTTTAAATATGCACCACCTCGTGTCAGGGCCAAAATTGTTCTGATTATGTATTGGAATATGTTTTGATCTTAAATATGTCTAGAACTTTAAGAACTTAAGGAAACTTCAGCAACATTATAAAAAGGTCATATCCAAGGCAAGTTGAAAATTAGTAAGGCAGGTCTATTTAGAGAAGCTCTACCAAACCACCACTAAAATTACAAACTCTTCAGACTAAAAACGGTCTTTATATTTGTTGTCCAAAAAAAAAGGAAAGACTAACTTTAAGGAGATTTTCATTTTTAAAGGTTTTATCCACTAAAAATGTGTTTGTTTTTCAAATTAAAATAGAAACAGAAAAAGAAATAGAGGCAGTTCCTTGCACCCTGAATGTTAGCCAAAGTGGTGACAATTACAGAGTCACACTGAGAGTCCCCTTCTTGTTTCTCCAAATGCTCACCAGGAAAGAAAACACGGGCCTCCTCCTCTAGTACAGACTGACTCCCTGCTGTCTTTTGTAGAGCCAGATGGTGGCGCTGTGGTATCATTTGTTGAGAGTTTAGCTTTAAATTCTGTTTTCTGTGAGCAAACAGCATTGTGTGAAAAGTCTCAGCCCTCTTTTGAAAAATAAAGTATTTTAAATAGACTTTATTCTTCCCTTTAACGATGAATAAGCCCATCATTTAAGCCCTTTAGGTTGTTTTAATGTTTACTATTTGTAAAAGAATGTATCTGAAACTTGTAAATATAGATGATTTACAGTGTACTTTCAAAAGGGTTGAGTGTAGATGGTGGTATTTTGTGTCTGTTGTTTTCTTAGTTCATAAAAATAAAAATGAAAAGAAATGGAAATATTTTGTCCATATTATTTTCATATATTCATAATTTCTAAATAAAGTCTTATGACACCTCCAAGCCCCAACCTGCTGCCCAAATCATCAGAAAACAAAGACTTTTGTCAGCAAAAGTTAACTCAATTCTAATCCCACTTCCCTCTCTAACCCTTTCACCAATTTTGGTGAGAATGCCTGTTCCTACTGAAAGTGGTGCTATGAGGCTAGTTTGGCAACATACACATCTGTACCTTTAATTCTCCCCCACACCTAGCCCTCTCTTATGTGCTCTGTTCATCTCACTAAGCCACTTTCTTCTTGGAAGGCTGGGTTTTACCTGACCTACACCCGCAAAATGAAAACTGAAAACTGAGTTAGGCCAATGCAAAATTATGAATTGACCATTTTCTTCCTCACCTACATTAGGCCAATTTTGCATTGGCCTAACTCAGTTTTGCTTCTCCTTCACCTTTGGCTGACCCAGAACAAAAATCATGCTGGGAACCCTACCACACCCCTTTCACCCCACTTTTAATTCTGAATAAAGTGAATGTCAGGATAACACAAATCAATGCAACTATTGGAACATCAGGTCCAAATAGACATATGGCAGGTGAAAAATGAAGTCCAAGAAAGAGAACACATCAGAAAGAGGCCATGTGCAATTTTAGAGTCTATACAACAAGGGCATTTGTGATCCATGGTGAAACCTCAGTCTCACCCGGGTTGTTCTGATTGATGATGGAGGGGAGGAGAGGACGATTCATGGTGGTTTGTGAGTGCCAGCTGGAGGTCCCACCTATTCCTTTACCCACTGCCACATCCACTGCTCCAGGTAGGACGTCAGGTTCCACAGATTTTTCCCACCTCTTCTAGTTAAACTGTGAAACAATGTACATGCAGTTTAGCCATAGTCCTTTATAAGTATCTTTTTAACCTATTTTTCAATGGAAACTGTATTGTTTTCTAAATAAAACCTTATGCTCGATCCCACTATGCCAAACAAATTAAAGCAGTATTTGAAATATAAATGTATAACTTAAAATTCATAAAATTTACTTATTAAAAGGCAAGAAATTAGAAAAATGGATGACTGTTTCAGACCAAGGACTAAGCATTCAGTTTATTTTTGGTGTTTCGATGGATCCACATACAAAAGCTGTGTAAGAAAATGTCTATACTACAGAATTTAAAAGAAGCCACACCTAGCAGGCTTTGAAGATGCCCTCCTTCCCTAAGAGATTAAAGAAAAACATCACACTCAGAGTAATTAGATTCTGATAATGAACGTAGAAACATTGATCTATAGCACACTTTAAAGACCATTGTTCTAGAACAATGCCCTGACTTTTGTGCCTAAATCTGTTTTGTTAGGCAACTTCCAATTCCTCCTATGTGTGGAATTGGTCTTAAACGACAGATCATATTTTCCAACTTGGTTCTATGGGAATTTCAACCATCATTGATGCTTGTCTGTAATTTAACATGCATTCTCTCTATATTTCTATTATCCTAGTTCTAATTGTCTTCTGAAATTGTAATATTGAGATACACTCAAAAACAAATGATTTGAGAAAACACCTTCTCAAATTCCATGATGCTACTTAGTACTTTTGTGAACAACACACATAAGTCAAGAAGAATTTTCCTGTGTACAATGAGGGGAAGCTAAGCCTCAAAGCTTCAGAAGCACCAAGGACGTATGCAAACAGAAAATATGATGAACGCTCTCTCTTCTTGGCATGTTTTTCTCATCCAGTTTTCACATCTTAGTGCTCCTCCAGAACCTTTAAAATCAAAAAGGAAAAATGAGATTAAAAAGGGTGAAATGCCAAGAATCTTCCCTCTTTTCAGGGGTCAGTTCTGGGTTATAATCCTAAACTAATGTGGAATTGTCTTAAAAAGATAAAGCCTTTCTTATTTCTCCCATCTGCAGAAAAAAAAAAAGAATATGATTTACCTGATTACTGACTTTCTTTAGGGAATCTGTGAATGAGATGTTAGAGTATAATTTGTTTCCATTGTGAGTGCTTCTTCAAACTATAAAATCAAACTCCTAACAATTCTATCAGGGTGTCCCTAATCTTGAGCATAAATGATAGGTTCCTTTTAGATGGCAGTGATACGTCTGTGGAGTTTTATTTCCAGGGAGACAGGGCAGGATTTGCTGCTATGCAGACTGAATAATGTTTGAAGCCAACATCATGTCACATTTTGTGTGCACTTTCCAAAGATTAATCCAAGCGTTACAAATGGGACACAGACTGCCATTGTCCCAGGGACACTTTAATAACCCACACCTACAATATTCAACCTGTTGTTTGCATAGGGACAACTTTGGGACACAAAAACCCACCAGAACGACTTAGGGAAAGGAGCCGTGGAGAGGCAGAGACCCAGGCGCCACGGCACCTCCACATCTCATCCTTCATGGCCAATGAGTCTGTTTGGAGTTTATTTATGCCCGAGGATGGGGGTCGTGCAGCTTGCTTTCTTCAAAGCGTCTCGGCGAGCCTTTCTCAAATCTGATGCCTGCTAACTCAGTTTCTCACTTCTGTTGCACTTTGGCAGGGTTTGCCAACTTGCAGATAATTTTTGTTTTGTTTTGCATAATGCAGCTTAAATTAAGGAACATTATTCCCCTCAGAAATAAACTGTGCTTAACCAGTTTCTTCTTCCATTTTTCTCCCCACTCCCCTTCTCTCCTCACAATTCCTTGCATCTGTTGTTCTACTAGGATATTCTTCATGAATGGAAGACTCAGGAGAAAGCTTCAGGATGAAAAGATTGTGAGAGGCAGATGAGAAGAGCTAATAATTTTTACATTCCCCAATGTATCATCTTTAAGTGCTCCCATGAAGTACTTATTACTGTAACCTTATTTACTTTAGAAAACAAACTGTAATGGTCTGGTAAATCAAAATTGATGACTAAGTTTCACATTGAGTTTAAAATATCAATAACCTACTTTTTCACATAAGAAGATATTTTAGCATAAAGACAAAAAACTAAGAGATACAATGAGCAGAATCATAGTTATGATATATTTAATCTCAGATATAATATTTTGAACAGTAGCACAAAAATAATTTCTTTTCATAATACATTATTACTATAGTATATAGTAGTGTGACTATAACAGGTAGAAAAAATTCAAAACCAACAGAAATCTTTAAAGGAAAATACTTTCGGAAATCACAATAAGGCAAAAAGACTTATAGAAGCATCATGAAGAAAAAGACTATGTAAGTGTGTATTATATATATGTTATATATTATTTTAAAAAGGAATCATATACCTTTACTTAATTTCCACCTTAATGACAGATTTCCATTAAGTGAAAAATTACAAGAGAAAGAATCAATAAACAGAAAGGCAGTAGTGTATATTTTGCTAAAGAACATGGTCCTTCAATTTAAACTTAAGCTTGGTACTTTTTAAAATAAGTATAAATAAATTTATTGAAATACAACATTTCAAATTTACCTTTATTGCTTGGTATAATTTTTTAGTTAAAATTATTGTATTTCTTTAATAGATTATTTTATTACCACTCTTGTAAACAGGTGAGCAAGTATAGGATTCTTCCTAACTTCTGTAAATGTTATTAATCCCAAATTACGGGATTAATCCCAACGTTATTTACACAGGAATATGTGTATAATGCTACAGGTCTTAAATGCAATTATATTATCAGCAGTGGTTCATGTGAAAACCAAAGGTAGATTGTTTTGACTTTCTAAGCTTAGTATGAGGCAGTAAATGTACTGCAGCTAGTTGGGGAAAGCATTGAGGAGCGTGTGGAAGAATCCAAGTTTCTTCTCTACTCAGCAACCCACAAGGCTTAAGGCAAGGTGTTGGCTGAGCCGCCTTTCTGGAGCCCGGAGTTCTCTTCCAAGTTCACATGGTTGCTGGAAGAATTCAGTTCCTTGCACTGACAGGACAGAGGCCCCTATTCTCTTACTGGCTATTGACCTGAGGCCCACTCAGCTCTTAAGGTTGCCCACAGCTCCCCAGGTGGCCATTTCCAGATGCCCTCCCAGGCTTTAAATGTCTTTGACTTCTGGAAGGGCCCAGTCCCTTTGAAGGGACTATTTGATTAGGTCAGACCCACCACCATCATCTAGCTTCTGATTAACTCAAAGTTGACTGATTAGTGACCTAATCAAAGATTGATACTCCACTAGAGTCACAAGTCTTCCCTACACGCAAAGAAGGAGGATTATATAAAACTCATATAGCACAGGGGGAATTTTGAAAGCCATCTTAGAATTCTGCCTACCACAGAAGCTAATTCCAGATAGTGAAATGGTTGCAAAGGAAATGAAGTTGGAGACAAGCAGAGGGGAATCTATGTAGAGTGGTCAGAAAAGGAGTCTCTGGAGCAGTAATACTTGATCTGAGATTACAGGGCACAGAAGGAACCAGTCATGGAAATGTACTTCTTTTGTTTGTTTGTTTGTTTGTTTTTTGAGACGGAGTCTTGCTCTGTCGCCCAGGCTAGAGTGCCGTGGCGCTATCTCGGCTCACTGCAACCTCCACCTCCCGAGTTCAGGTGATTCTCCTGCCTCAGCCTCCCAAGTAACTGGGATTACGGGCATGTGCCACCACACCTGGATATTTTTTATTAATATTATTTTTAGTAGAGATGGGTTTCACCATGTTGGCCAGGCTGGTCTCAAACTGCTGACCTCAAGTGATCTACCTGCCTTGGCCTCCCAGAGTGCTGGGATCAAGTAAGCCACTGCACCCAGCCAGTCATGGGAACGTACTTGTAAAGAGTGTTAAGCTATCCAATTTAATGTACAGTCATGCATCATTTAACAATGGGGTACGTTCTCAGAAATATATTGTTAGGTCATTTCACAGTTTTGTAAACATCATAGGGTGTACTTACCCAAACCTAGATGGTATAGCCTACTACACACCTACGATGTGAGGTATAGCCGATTGCTCTAGGCTACAAACCCTACAGCATGTTACTGATTGAATGTTGACAAAATGGCAAGTATTTGTGAATCTAAACATAGAAAAGGCTCAGCAAAAATGTGGTATTATAATCTTACAGGACCACCATTGTATATGCGGTCCATCATTGACCAAAATGTCATTATGTGAAACATGGCTGTATTACTGTAATAGTGTTAAAATTCCACTTACATGTCAAAATAGATGCTATTTTTTGAGGTTTTATAAGGAAATTCCTATTTCTAATACATGTTTTTGAATAAAACTTCTTTTTCTAGAAGCTCAAATGAGTTCCTGCAGTACAGAGAACCTGCGATGTGCTTGAGCTTCTAACTGTAAGCTAACTTTCTAGAGGTTCTGCAGAAAAATGTGTCTGAATAGCTATTAATGGAGAGATGCTGAAGTGATTTGCCCTTGGAAAGATACAGAGGAAGGTGCCTGCAAATTTACAATTATAATTTCATCATGATGGTGGCTGGTGTCAGAACCACTCACGCATTTACTCAAAAAGCATTTGTGGTAGGATAATTTTAAAATATCAATTTGTGTTCTACTTCAGCATTTTTCCCTCCTTTCCTCCCCTCCTCCAAGCTCAGAGTCAAGGCCCTGTGTGTCTCTTTGCCTGGGAGACTTTGCAGAGGGGAAAGCAGACTCATCAGCTACTTTTCCTGTCTTTGGTAAAAACTTAATCAGAGAGAGAATGTTAGCTCTGGAGAGGCAGACATACCAGAGACTTATTCGAAAGATATTAAGAGAGAAGAAGGAGAAAAGTTTTCCCCAGGATGAAAAAAAAAAAAAAAAAAAGAGGAGCAAGGCCAGGTGTGGTGGCTCACACCTGTAATCCCAGTACTTTGGGAGGCCGAGCCAGGTGGATCACCTGAGGTCAGGAGTTCCAGACCAGCCTGACCAACATGTCAAAACCCCGTCTCTACTAAAAATACAAAAATTAGCCAGGCATGGTGGCATGCACCTGTACTCCCAGCTACTTGGGAGGCTGAGGCAGGAGAATTGCTTGAACTTGAGAGGCAGATGTTGCAGTGAGCCGAGATCGCACCATCGCAATCCAGCCTGGGCGACAGGAGTGAAATTCCTTCTCAAGAAGAAAAAAAATAAAAAATAAAAAGAGGAGCAGGAGTCAATGGGTTGTGGAGATTGTGCTGTCAATAAAAGGGAAACTTGTAAATGTCACAGGAGCTCAGAGGGGAGGGGAGGCTCTGTGGTGTAGGATCACAGTCTTTCCAAATAATCTTATTTCCAAAACATGATCAGAAATAGCAAAGCCATTAGACCTGAAGAGACTCTCCCTTCAGCCTAGGACAATAAGCATCTTACTAGATAACAAGTGTGGACCCATGTCCTTAGGGGCCGCCTAGACAAGATGACTGTGTTTAGGAACCCAGGATCTTGGCACAAACCTGGTTGGAGGGAAAGGTGAATGAAAACCTTGGGAATGACTATGATCGGATTCCCCAAGTCATGTTTAAATCCACATAAGTGAGTAGGGCATGCATTTATGCACATCATATTAAATACATATGTACCAGGTGCATCCAGAAACTGCTTAAAAAATCTGTCCTTTTAAATTCATATCTAAGAAGCAGAAGTGCTCTTATGTGTTATTGACAACACAGAATAAACTTTACTAGTTTAAGTGATTTAAAGCAGTTCTATGCTTTAGAGATTTCAGTCTTTCTCTACCTTTCCAATGCCTCTCCCCACCCTCAGAATGGATCATGGTGTGGCTGAAAGAGAACTGGACCAGGAGGCCAGAGCCCTGGGTTTGTTATGTGGCAACCATTGGTTGAGTGCTCTTATTATGCAGCACGCTAGGCTTACAAAGATACATAACACCAGTTCCTGTCTTGTACATTCCAAGAATGGAGAAAAACAATACAGAGAAAAAAGCAGGGGGTAGGCAATATGGCAGAGTGGTTACTCACTGAGGCTCAGAGAACAGGAGCTCCGATCTCAGCTCTTCCACTGCTTAGCGGTCTGATCTTGGGCAAACCATTTAAAGACCCTCAACCTCAGTTACTTCACATGTTAAATAGCTTCTACAGTTAATAGGATCTATTAATAATTTATGCCTCAGTATTATTGTGGCTAGAAATCGTATTTATAAAAGTTTACTATAAGTAAGTCATTGCAATGCACTGTTAAGTACCATGGGTATTGTATTTATTTATGTGACTCTAAATTGATTCTTTCAGCAGTCAACACATCTTTACTGAGGGCCTACTATGTTCCTAGATTTGAGTGACAAATATTAAAAACTCTCCAAGACTGCTTCTTTTGTAAAATGAGAGATTTGGAATAGATACTCCCTAAAGTCCCTAAAACTTGGTCATATGCTCAAGGGGAAACTACAGAACTGCAGCCCCTTTTTTTTTTTTAACAAAAATCTTTAGATTATATCTACATAGGCATATTTGAGGGGAGGGAATCAAAAGAAAAGAACAGAAAATGTTAAATTGAGCCAAGTGACTACTGATTTTTAAAATAAATAGAAATAAAAATTTTGGAAGCTAGCTAATAACTAAAATTTGAATAATTACATTATTGAACAATTCCAGTCAGTGAAATAGAGACTATGTGGTTATCTGGTATATTTAATCAGTAAAGATAATCAATTAGTATGATTTAGCTAGATGTGATATCTCAAGTATATCCTTTGTTTCTTTATGTAATTAAAAGTTTAATTCAAAATCCAATTGAATTCACTCAACTAATTTCTAATCAAATTGCTATGTTTTGTTTTTGTTTAAAAAGAAACATATTTGAATTAATTCATAGGTGTCTGTTTTCCTTACTGAGTTCTATAAATATGACTACAATAATTCTCAGTGAGACACTAAGGAAATCTTATTTTATTCATGAATCAAATAAATGAAAACATCGCTAGGTCTAGAATGCATCAAAACATTTAAAAGACTGAACTTCTCTTAAATGTTGCATATTTTTAAAAATGAAAGCTCCTATGTTTCCTGGGCTTGGATTAATATGTAGAGTAGGAGTTGGTCTAATACCTAACCTACCAAATTCCTATGTAATGTTATAGGTTGACGATAACGCCTCACAGGAAAGAGGTAGGAAACAATGGTAACCATAGCAAGGGAAGTTTTCTAGCACAAGTAAAATATATGATATGACAATCAGCACGATGTAGTGTGATAGCAGCAATCCTGTGTAAACGAGGAGATTCTGTGCATTGCTTCTTCAGAACTGTGGCTTTCACTGACA
This sequence comes from Homo sapiens, assembly GCF_000001405.40. Lineage (NCBI taxonomy): Eukaryota > Metazoa > Chordata > Mammalia > Primates > Hominidae > Homo > Homo sapiens. The sequence continues at coordinate 93,800,298 of NC_000004.12, forward strand.
TTTACAAATGAGGATGGGAAAATGATATGACCCTTTCTGGGCAGCCACTGCCATAAAGCTGAAAAGTGTTGCAATGTCTGACACGTATCTTATCAAGTTTGGATCGAACAATTTGGAAACACCCAATTTCTAGAGATGTAAGTAGCATTGAGGAAACAAACAGGATTAGTTTATGTTGCATCAGAGAGACAGAAATACTTCTTTTCTACTCATGTATTTGTATTGTATTAAAGATTTGGTTCTTATTTAAATAAAAAGGCCCCCATTAAATGTCCCAGATAGCATTTTAATGGGTATCATGAATCCTTAACTTTCACTGTTATCAAAAAGTTTTTATGTTTTTCTTAGATACTTGCATGGGTAGTTATAAATAGTAACCTGGATACATATAGAAGAAATTTAAGAGACATTATAGTGATGAAAGTTATTTTATAATTATTCCCAGTTTGTTAAATAATTACTACTACTGTTAAAATATGTATTTAGCCAATATTTGAATAATTGAATCAATTTTCTTTCTTTTAAATTGTAGATATAGACACCAACGTTAAAAGGAATTCTGGCAATTAGCTGGCTTATTTGCACCTAGGCATAAAATATGCTGGAAAACACTGAATGAATTCAATCTTACTGCTAATTATTTTCCTAGCAGTTAATAGGTAATGTCATTAGCACAAAAACGTAATTAGTGCTCAATACAACTAATAAACTGAATCAAATTTAATTGAAAATAATCGTTTGTTGGTCAAATTTCTATTTTTTCCCAGATCTATTATTTAGCTAGTAACAAATTATTTTTTCAGTAAGCTTGGTAATATACCTGCATGAGAGTGAACTCAATTGTTTATATGAAAGTAAGCAATTAATCTAATTTATATAGATTGATTTTCCCAACCAATTAAACAAACCAGATAATTACCAAATTTCTAGTTAAGTTTCCCTTTTCAGTTTAGTTTTTAAAATAAAAGGTGTATTTTAGAGACCTGAGCAAAAGTTAAATTTAACTATTATTTAAAATTGAGTTTAATTTGAAAGTTTTAAGGTGAATAAGTTTGTGTATGTGTAAACAAACTGCACTGTTTTTTCTTATTTTCTTTTTTTATTTTCAGTTCCAAGTTCTAATTCAATGACATAGTCCTGAAAGATTTGTCACATAAAGTATGATATGTGAGTAAACAGAGACTTCTAAATAAAATATAACACTATTTTATTAAATATTTTTAATTTACACAAATGGATTTACTGATATTGGGTATAAAATAATTAACTCCTCCTTCTATGTAGACTTTCTATTAATAATGTAAATAGCGCCTTCTAACAGTAGTTTTACAATACTTACAACAGCATTTCTTTCAACTTCATAAAAAAGTAAATAGTTAAAGCACTGCACTTTCTCACATTTTTAATGGAAAGTAATGAGAAATAAAATAGCTAAACACCATGCGTTATTGAAAATCTCAGATATGTTGATGTCATACTAACAGTAAAACAGAAACAACTTCACTAATAATTATGGGGGAAATTTGGTTAAACTAATCAATATAAAAATGCATACAGACACATCTCAGGTTAAATTACTATAAGGGGTTCAACCCACGTTAAAAATCTTACCCAGTCCCTACTCTGCAATTAAATGATATAGCATATATCCCTTTAAAATCCTGTATGTAGAATATACTGCATGTGTGCCCCCTCCTACATATTTTGGTGTTTTGAGGGAGACAGAGAATCCAGCATCCAGGCCTGGAGCTTTCTGTCTATTGTACAGTAGCTGTTTCAGACCTGTATGCTTATGTTTCCGATTCCTGGGAAGTTCTTTCTGCCGCAGGGCGTGCCCTGAAACACATCAAAAGAACCAAGTTCTACAAAAGAAAAAAGAAACTCAAGTAGGCTTGAACATACAAAGAGAGGGAGAAAGAGATGAGAAAGGGGCCAGGCAAAGTGTTGAATACAAAATGAGTTCAGGCAACCCCAGGAGCTCTTCATCACTTACATTTATCTTATTCTGTGAGGGGAGCGTCAAAACCAGCCCTGACATAAACCACCCACTGCCATTGACTTTGACTCTATGTGTGAGAGTGAGTGTGTGTGTGTGTGAGTGTGTGTGTGTGACAGAGAGAGAGAAAGAGAGAGAGAGATGTATTGAACATAAAAAGGAGCAGATTTCATGAGGTGTTACTAGTACCTCACAAGAATTAAAAAAGAAAACATTTTACAACACCAATGACCAAAGTCCCAAGAAAATAAATTTAGTATGGTTTTTGTGTAACTCCTCTATAGTGTTTACATCAGAATCTTCGAATTGTGCATTGCTTTAACATCTTTACTGCCGTATCTATATTGCACCTTCTGTACTTGTTATCATAAAGCATGTAAGATTTTTAATTTCTACTTGCAATATTTTGTGCATGTTTTATATTTCAGGGCAAAAACCCATAGTCAACATCTCTGCAACAAGATAAATTCTCTATGATAAATTTAAAAAAACCATAATTAAGGGTCAAGGATCCAAATAACTGAAGGAATAATGGAAATGTTTTCTAAATCTATGCTAATTCCATCTTTGAAAGTAAGACCCCCAAATTCTGACCCTGTGTCCTGTTTAAAAGTGTAATGCAGTTGATAAACCCCTTGTGCAAAAGATCGTAAGCGCATTTAGGTGACTGTGTCAGGTTTTCTTAGCAGACTAAGCCAAGCTCTGCTCCAATGGCCTTGTTTGAACATAGAAAGTGTTTCAGTTGGCCAGCAGTCTGGAATGAAAGGTAGAATCCTCACATCCTATGTACATGCAGTGGAATTTTGTAGCCTGAAGGAACTACAGTGATCTTTAAATTCATTTACAGGGTTTTCCTCTGTTTTGATTTTCTTCCATTTTCTTAAGCAAATAAAAGAATTAAAATTTTCAAGTAATTTACAATTTGGGGGCAATCACACTCAACTCTGATACTGTGACATGTCAGTAATTATCAGAATAAAATTATATCATTTCAATATCATTTATATAAGCAACTATCCCAAAAACCTGTCTTGAGAGAAAGAGAGAAAAAAGTAGAATTGATAAAGAAAAATTAAGCACGAGTACCAATTCTGAATGTTGCGAGTCATGGTCCAAGTTTTTTCTCCCTTCAAAACCACACCTTTTTTGGCCGGGTGCGGTGGCTCGCACCTGTAATCCCAGCACTTTGGGAGGCCAAGATGGGCGGATCACAAGGTCAGGAGTTCGAGACCAACCTGGCCAACATAGTGAAACCGTGTCTCTACTAAAAATACAAAAATTAGCCGGGCATGGTGGCACGCACCTGTAGTCCTAGCCACTCGGGAGGCTGAGGCAGAAGAATCGCTTGAACCCAGGAGATGGAGGCTGCAGCAAGCCGAGATTGCCCCAACGCACACCAGCCCGGGCAACAGTGTGAGACTTCGTCTCAAAAAAAAAAACAAAAAACACCTTTTTCAAATATACTACACAAATTTATCATATGATTTTATGTGGTTCCTTTTTTAAAATTGCTTACCTTTTTCTGATTAGCATTTATGCCACTGCAAAGTGTGAATGCAACAATTGAAAAAGCAGACAAAAGACTTTCCTAAAGATTAAAAACAAAAATGTAAAAAACTACAACCATCATCACACTGCATCCAATTGCCAGGTGTGTGGCGCTTCCTGGCTGCACAGTTCCTATATCTTCAATGTTAGGGAGAAAAGGAAAAAAAGCACAGCATACCATTCATGTGACCCTCAGAATCCCAAGGGTCCTTCACTTTGCAGGTTTTACAAGCCAGCCTGAAGGTCAGTGTCATCTACCATGATGCCCCTGAATGTCAAGGTGTTCCTTAGGATCTAAAACTAGGATGTAAAAATAAATTAAAAATTGTCCCCACCATCCATGAGACTATCACAGACAACAGACAATTAAACAACTCATTATAATATACCAGGTAAGAACTCTAATAGTAGTCATGTGTTGCTTAACCATGGAGATCCATTCAGGAAAAATGAGTCATTAGGTGATTTTTGTCAAAATGTGAACATCACAGAGTGAGTATCCTCACCTAAACCTAGATGGTTTAGCCTACTACACGCCTAGGTTATATAATATAACCTATTGCTCTGAGGCTACCAACCGGTACAGCACGCCGCTGTACAGAATACCGCAGGCAATTGTAACACAATGGTAAGTATTTGCATATCTACACATGTCTAAACATAGGAAAGGTACAGTAAAAATATGGTGTTAAAATATTATGACACCATTATTATATATGCAGTCTGTCATTAACCAAGACATCCTTATGCATCATGTGACTATATGGGACAAATAAAAGAGATCCATACTCTGTAACATTCTGTTCTTGGGTAAGAAGTCCTTAAGAAATATTAGAATTTAATGATTCTAATACAGCAGAAGAGTTGTTTGCTGCACAACTTTTTGTTCTTTGAAGTCACAGGGCCCCTCAAGTAAAAATGCCCTCAACCTTTCAAAAGCCTAGCCATCCCATAAAACCAGTCCTACCTCCTCCATGATTTCTTCTTTTATTATTCTAAAACTTTATCTTCCTCTCTGCAACTACTATATCTATTAGTCTTCATTGTTTAACTTAGTACTTGGTTATGTGGAATCTTTAGGTGGTTGATATTGTTTTATGTAATATGGTAGATGTATCTCCCAACCAGATTATGAGCCTATCCAGGGCAGACTTTATGTTGTATACCAGTGCATTTTCTATTTTCCAAAGTACCTAGCTTAATTTAACACAATTACAGTAATAGATAATTAGTAATAGCTTAATTTATTTTTTGGTGAAGAAATGTGTAAATTTTGCAAATGAGTATTTCTTCACACTGCATGCTAGTCTAAAATTCCCTAAATGTTTCTTTATGTAGCACCAGTTCTAAAGATGCTAATAAACATGACTCAAAAACTTAACTTCATGTTGAAATGTTAGGGACGTATTGATTTAAACATAGTTAAATAAATTATTTTGTACTGGACTTCTCAAAATCTTTAAAACTTGTATAATTAAATCTTCAAGAGAGGTAGATAAAATGCAGTGTTTCCCAAGTGTGCCTAATGAGAAAACTGTTTTTGAAATTAGTGTTCACAGACCTTACTATGGGAATTCTGGTGTCTTCCAAGGTCTTTAGAGCTGATTTCTACACTTAGTTCAGTCAAATTACTTGCTGAAATAACTGGTTGGTTGATTCAATTTATCTGGTAAGTGCTATCAATCCACTAACACAATTAGAAACACTCAGTCTTCTCTAAATCCTGTAACATTAGCAAAGATTTTGATAAACATGAAACCTAGGTACAAGCTCTCCTAACAAGGACATAGAGGTAAGGATCACACTGATCCCTTCTGATGCAGGCCTAAGTTAAGATTCACAGTTTGTGTCCACATTCAGGGTTCCTGCTGTTGATTTACAGTTTTTGATTCTGTTATTTAATGGCTGAAATATGCCATCTACTCCTCAGGTTTCAAGAAAAAGGGAAGTTTCTTATTTAAGAGCATATATTCGGCCGAGTGTGGTGGCTCACGCCTGTTATCCCAGCATTTTGGGAAGCCGAGGCAAGTGGATCACCTGAGGTCTAGAGTTTGAGACTAGCTTGACCAATATGGTAAAACCCCATCTTTACTAAAAATACAAAAATTAGCCGGGTGTGGTGGCATGTGCCTGTGGTCCCAGCTACTCGGGAAGCTGAGACATAAGAATTGCTTGAATCCCAGAGGTGGAGGTTGCAGTGAGCTGAGATAACGCCACAGCACTCCCGCCTGGGCAAGAAAGCAAGACTCCAGAAAAATAAAAAAATAAACAAAAAAAAGCGTATATTCATATGGGTAGGCTAAAATGTGTTTGACAAAATCAAATTTGATTTGTGATTATAAACATAGTACAATTTATATATTTATTATTAATTGTTAGTGTTTTTAAGTTTATGCATGGTCTGGAACCAATAACTAAAAGTCAAGATGTAAGATTCAAGATCTAAGCAAACAGGCTCCAGGATTTCATGTGTGACTGTATATCGACACCAACTTTGGTAGAACTCTCTGTTGACTCTCCATGTGAGAGCGATACTGCCTTTATTTTCTGGTGAAGATATTGAAGTCCTTATCCACTCTAAACTACCAAAGTATCCTAATCCAGACCTGGATGAACTCCAAAGCCCTCCTTGAAACAGGTTCTATTGAACCAGCAGCCAATATGCTCTGGTTTTTGACAGTTGCCTGGAGTCTAGAAAACCTGTGAAGCCCTACATGGGAGGGAGGTATGCATCATCAATCATCATGCTCCACTTTGTTTACGATGGACATTTAAGGTGGAGCCAATGCCTTATAAGTAGTGATAGGACCATGGAAAGCCAAACTTTGTCTAAAATCAACCTTGATGTGACCTTATGCTTTATTTCCCCACAGGCTTCATCCCTGCAGAATGAAACTACAATATCTGAAAGAAGGAATGCTTGGCCATTAAGGCCATGTTTGAAACTTGGCAGCAATACCTGGAGAAGCCAGGCATCCAGTCATAGCCTGCACCAATCATCACAAATGGGAGGACCCCTGGATGACCCATAACCTCTACCAGCACAAGAACTGCTGATCTGTTTTCCACCTTATTGATTTCAGGACCCATTAGATCCTGTATTCAAAACTGGTGAGCTAATGTATTATCTCCTAAATTAAAAACTCCTATCCAGTTCAAGGAAGCTGACCTCACCAGATTGTGACACACAGAAATCCTTGCTGTAATCCACTCATAGAAGAGTAACGACAGGACTGCTGCTTTCAGCCACAGGTCATGGATCTTGCCTGCGCCAGCCCATTAGCCTTAGAAGGATGCTTCTATGCAGTGGACTTCTTGCCTAGATGTCCTGGTCAAGAGCACTCACACTGAGGTCCAAGTCTATACCACAGTAGCTTTGTCCTCAGCTTCTATCTGTGCACGATTTTAAACTCTGGGTCTTAGGACTTCTCATAGCCAGAGATCTAGGGAGACATGAAGGACCAAGGAGAATGGCAGAACTTAACCAGAAAAAGACAGACGGCTCTTCTAATGCTTATTGAATCACTGGTAACTGTGGTTAAACATCTTTGGAGGTTTTATCACAGAATTCTCTCCATATTTCTAGAACAACATTATTTCATACTTACCAAAATTGGCTACTTTCCTCCACACCAAGGGACATTACCTTTTTCCCCAATGGCCATCAAATGTCTACATTTTGCATGGATTCCTGGCTAATGTAGAGCCTCCAGTTTGAATCCACACTTAGTACATGTGTCATTGTAAACAAAGATCACTTGGATCTTAGGATTACACCCTGGAATTGCAGTGCCTGTATATACTACCCAGCGCTAAGATAAGTTTGTTTTCCTTATACCCACTTCCACATTCATTTATAATACCTCTTCAATGCAAAATGTATTTTACAAGTAAAATAGGGAAGCATCATATGAAATATCCCAGCCCCTCATGAACTCAATCAGTTTTTATTGAGGACCACTATGTGCCAAGCACTGTATTACATTTTGGGAATACAATGATGAATGAGTCAGAATCCTTTCCCTAAGAAGTTTGCATTCCAGTGGGGAATCCAGATGATTAAACAGCATGAAGAGTGCTAGAACAGGCTAACAATGGCCATAAGTATTCCCTCATCTCTGTTCCTTAAGCACCCAGGGAGCTCCCAGTTGCCCAAGCTGATGCACAGATGATCTATTATGCCAAAGCAACCTAAAAGATTAAAGCCAACAAGCAGCAGTCCAGGAGGAGCCTCTACAAGTAGTGATCCCATGGGTTCTTTTACTAATATATTATTTCTAAATAATCTGACTTTCAAACAAGTTAGGTGTTCACTTACTGAGCACCTTCTTCATTATGTCATCAAACTGATAACCCTCAAGTTGTAGCTGCTCACAGGTGAAAATCAGGCTATAAAGTCAAAAGACAGAGCTTCAAGTTTGGGTCTTGGTGCTTACCATGACTGTGGGCAAATCACCTACTTTCTGGTCTTTGGTGTCATTCTTTGCAAAATAAAAGTAAAAACATTATATACTGTACCTACCTCACAGGGTTGTTGTGAGAATCAAGTGAAAAGTATGTGAAAGAACTTTGTAAACTTTGTTATTTTTAATCACCCCATTTCCATGGGTTCTTCATCTTCTCTACGTAATACAATACTATAATTCACCTGAAGGATGTACTCTTACCCACTCTGTTCCTACCTCTCACCCTTACACAAGTGAATTGTACAAAGAAGATGAAGTACATGCCTTCCTGGATATCTAGTTTCAGATGGAAATTCTGATACCTCACAGAATGACAAAGAAGTAGTCCGGAGGACCAAAACCGGGGCTCTACTGCCATAGAGACATTCCACCATTAACATACCACTGGACCTGGATATCAGCCAGCCCTCTTGATGGACAGTTGTCCACAGAGAACCCATTCTTGGCCCCAGAGAACTACTGCAGTGGTTCAGGGAATCATCTGGGTTCTTTCTGGCTGCCAGGGGAGTCACCAGCCATTCCAGGAAAGCGCATGCTTCCGAAAATAAAGCAAGAAGATTGGTTAAAGGAGACACTGACCCCATTAAACAAAATACAAGCCTTCCCTGACTGCCTGACCTGTGATAATTGGGCTGCCAAGGGAGATACCTAGACACTTATTTAAAGCAAGGATTTGGTGACACATTTCTTCATTTAGCAGTTTATCCCTGATGCCAACCTGACTCTTACTTCTCTGATTTTTGATTTGTCGACTCCCTGTCTGTCTAACAGACCTATGATAAGATGTGTTTCTGGCTTTAAAATCCCATATGCTCCCCTTACATACACACAAACACACAAACATCCACACAATGAGGAATGCCAGCATTTTTCCTATCTATCTTACCCACTTGACCAAGCTTAGCCTGGCCTTCCATTTCTGATTATTTCATATGGATTCTGATTGGCTGATCCAATTTGAGTTCAGTCTCACTGGACCAGTCGTAATGTATTCCAGGCTGAAACTCTGACTCCCTTTCAGTCCTGTGTAGAAGCTTAGAGTGCCCATGAAGCCACGATACCGATACCCAGCAATCCTTTAAACAAAGGGAGGTCTTTCAACTTAGAATACACATGCTTATCCAAAACTAAGGCCGTATTAGCATGTATCTCCAGGAATAACATAAAGTTTCTATAAAAGTTCTCCTGAGCGAATAGAATGGTGACTATGTACAAAAGATCTGATAGAATTGGCATCCAAGAAACTTTGTAATAAGGTCTTAAGCCTAAAATAGAAAATTTCAACTACAATTCATTCTTCAGCTTCCTAGAGCAAGGAAGGCAGATCACAGGGAAAAATCGATTCATTGTTTATATCAGTTTCCAAAATATTTTCAAATGGAATGGAAAATAATTCACAATTTCCTTCTTGCTATAAGTCAGAATGGCTGACTTCACACACCAATTCAGTGAACTAAGAAATTCCAAGACTTTTTCCTATGGCTATAATATTAAAAGTTAATTTTAATACCTAAAAAACATTAGCAATTAAAAACAGTGTCTTATATTGTAGTTTACAACCACCACTTGCTGTGGGAAGGGAGCCAGAGAGACTCAGAGTACCCGCCACCCAAGGTCAAAGGCACTGAGCCAAAGGATCCAGCAAAGAGCAGGCCCAAGCCAGGAAGAAAAGCTGTTGCTGAAATGTCAGACCAAGCATATGAAACAAGATGATCTCCAGGTCATGGTAGCTGAGAAAGGAGAATAGACAGATCCAAGCTGGGAACCAAATTAAGATGTTGGAACAGGTACCAGAGTGAATAAGACTGGGCAGGGGATGGAGTCACCTACGGCCACACGTTTGTCGTACAGTAGCCTTTCTTGTAAGTTGCGATACTACATCCTAGTTTCTTTTTCAGAAATAAAATCCTTGGTATTACTGATGTAGCTTACATAGCCAGCCCCAAGCAGAAAACTCTTCCTTTCCCACAGACATACTTTTTACTATCTTGGTTGATATAATTTTCTTTTTCAGAGATTTTTAATTTTTTTCATGAATCTTTGATAGATTATTTTATCAATAAAAATTTTGTCAATAAATAATTTTCCTGATTGAACTCCAAGTCCTTCTTTGGTGATTAAAGTTGGTAATAAAAACAAATTACTTTAATTAATAGTTTGTCTGTACTTGCTTTTCCAAGGCGGTATGGAAGGGAGACAATGTTCTAACACAGATAACATATGAGTGAGCTCGAAACAATTATAGTAAAACACCAGCCAGGGGTAGCCAAGGTGACGTTTGATAATGACACACAGTGAACATTTCAAGTTAGCTTCAATCTACAAATTGTACCTCTCTTTCAAAAGTCAGAGGCAATCAACTCTGCCACTGCCGCATCAGAATGCAGAGACTGCCCAGTGAGAGACAGACACTCAGGATGGAAAGGAATAATGCAGGCAGCATTTTGCAGAAAGAGGTATCTGAATGCAGAGACCAGCCACTCCCCATAGCTGGGGAGAGTGCCAGGCTTTTCAGAGAACTCACGTTAGAAGTTTCAGCAGTAGATGGAACTGGGCCAATAGACACAATGGTGGGGAGAGTGGGGAAGTTTCTGTAATTAAAGTCTGAATTCTGCACACTTTCAAACAGACTAAGAGCTCTCTACTATTGACAACAAGGACTTTTTTTTAAGTGATTGTTCTAACTGAACCTGGTAAGACATGAATCACTGTGGAAAATAAAGGAAGTCAGTGGAGTACAGACTTTGGGTTAAGAATGAAGAAAATAATCTGAATGGCACCAGAAGAGACAGTTCCATAAGCTCTATAGCAGGAGAGACTGGAAGTTACTAACAGAGGAATATTGCTGTGTGTCTTTTCCAGTATGCCATATATATAGTTAGGCTTAAACTGACTGCTTGGTAAAGTACAATTGGTTTTTAATCTTTCACGTGGATTCGGTTCTTGTCTATTGAATTCTTGCATTGTCTTTATAAAACCCAGAATTTATAGAGAACTCTTCAATGTTAACAGAGTATCTGTTGATATCTGAATCAGATAGATGCTAACTGATAATTACAATCAATATTCCAGAATGGTCAAGCAATTCTTCACTTAATAAAATTTATTTTGAACTGAATATATATAATTTATACCAGCAAGATATAATATCATTTGTTACGGCAGCACCTACTCTAAATATAATCCCAAATACCCCATCTTTCACTCCCCACAAACAAAACTAAATATCTGTAAGCTGAAAATCAACACAGAGAATTTTTTTTAATAGGTCAAACTTTGGTAGTAAGTAAACTATTATTTGAAGCAACTACTAAAAAAAGGCTAAACTTCTTGAAAGCATTCTTTCTTTCAACTTGTATTGAATGCCAACCATGTCCGAGACACTGAATTAAGCAATGGATATAACATAGTGAGCAAAATCATGGAGTTCACATTCTGGGCTCAGAGAAAGATATTCAATAATCATACCAATGAATGTGTAGTTACCAACTGAGAAAAATTCCTGAGGAAAGGAATAAGCTACCAGGAGTGTGTATGACAAAGAAACCTAACCAAGTTTAGAAGACTTGCTGGAAGAAGTAAAGCTTGAACTAAAGACCAGTGAGCAGAAGTTGGAAAAATAGAAGTGGGGAGTATAAAACATTTCAGACAGAGGGACCCAGTTCTCATCTGAGAATTGAAATGCTAATAAGACCTGAAAGCAGGTTCAAGTGATTACAGCCCTGAAAGCAAAAGTTAGAATGGTAAGAGGTGAAATATATAGGTGGGTAGCAACGAAGCTATGCTGTCTTAGAGACCACACTAAGAAACCTCATCTTCAGCCTAACAGAATTAGAAGCGTCTCAGCTTTTACTAAGAGTTAAGTCTTAAATTTGTTTGCCTGGTTGTGTTCTGTTGTACACATATAGAGTGCTTAATATACATGCATTTAATACATTCTGGATTTGTTTTCCACAATAAATTCCAGAGAACTGATACAATATTCTCCTAAGTTGATTATCAGAATTATGACTTAGAAACTTCCACCCAAAGAGTCATTCTGTGATGTACATTCAAGTGATGCCAAGAATATAGCTACTGTAGGTGTATCATGGCCATAGTGTATGGATTCTGTCTTCAAAACAAGGATTCCGTCTTCAAAACAGATTTTTTAAATTGTCTCAATTGCAACAATACATATGAAAATACTTTGGAAGTTTTAATGAGAGTACATGAAGGAATCATTACTGTTTACTACTCTACAAAGGACCAGGGCTCAACTTAGATTGGAGATACATAACAAAGGAAACAGAAATACAGAGATGTCCCAATTTGTATGCACAGCAATAGCAACATTAGGTTGCAGTCTGTCCTCCATCAACCCTTCCCTCACCCCTGCCTTCAGAGATACCTGGTGCCTCCAACATCTGAGCATCTTCAGGGAGCTAGGGCAGGAATTGATCTTTTTCTCTCTGGCTTTCCCTACAGACTAAGGTGTAGGCTTTCTCAGCTCTGCTAAGTCAGTTATCACTTGTCCATCTGGTTCCAGTCTGTAAACATTTGTTGACATCTTTGATTTGTTACTGTTTCTTCAGCCATTCCCTTGTATTCTGCATTTATGCCTTTTGTGTCCTTTTTAATGGTGTTTGAGAAGGACATCTACGTGTTCAATCTAAAACAATTACCCGAAACTTTCTTTTTGTTTTAATTTGCATTTCCTGATTGAATACTTTTTTCATCTTTATGAACCATGTTTACTGTCCCTTCACGAATTACCTGCTCTTATCTTTTGGCTGTTTTTCTATCAGGAACTATTCATTTTCTTATCAAACTTAATAGTTCCATTTATATGATGCATATTAACTCGCTGTGTGTCAGATTAATTGCAAATATTTTTCCAGTTTGTCATTTACTTTTAATTTTTGTGATGTTTATGCATGAAAAAATATTATTTTGTTATAATTTACTATAGTTTGTGATTTTTTATTATTAAAAGTATTAATAATAAATATTGTTATTTAATTTATTAAATTAATTACTGAATTAATCTTTCAGCAAGTTTAGGCATAGAATTCCCTTAATCAGCCTGATATCAGTTCAAAGATTACCTACCTTATACTCTAAATATATTTATAATTTCGTGTTTTTAGATTTACTTTTTAATTCATCTGGAATTTAATTTTTCATGTAGTATGTAAGGGGAACTATTAGGTTGGTGCAAAAGTAACTGCAGTTTTTGCCATTAAAAGTAATATAAATAACTAATTGTTTGCCATTAAAAGTAATATAAAAACTAATTATTAGCATGTATACCGTCAAATATTTAAATATAGAATACAATTATGTACAATTTAACATACCATTTAAAAGCAACTATTCATTCTACCACAACCTAAATCCCTATATAAGTATCTACTTTTAGGAGAACCCGAAATAAAATAATTTGTACTGGAGATAGCTCAGGAAATCCATCCATCCTTAGCCTTGGAAATAGCCCTGGAAATCTATCCATAGCAACGAAGACTGCATTGTTACTGCTAAGTGGGCTGTGACAACCCCTGGTAGGGTCAGTATTACTAAGAGTCTCATTGGTGATGAATTGAGACAGAATGCAGGAGGAAGGGGACGTAAAGGGTTTATGCAATATCTCTACTATTTCAGACATATGACAATAATAGTTGTCATGAAAGACTGCAGAAATGATAGGTTGCTTTTGAGTATCATGGATACACCACTGAGGGAAAATGGTGGACTCAAGTCAGCCAATCACCAACTCAGGACATGATGTTAAATTCAGAAAATCTCTATGACACCTGTAGCTACCACAATCAGAGGGCAGCACAGACGGAAAACAAAGCCTGATTGTGAGAGTAGCAAAATTGCAAAGATTTACTACACAGCCTTGGCAAATGTATTGTGCTAAACTCAAGACCCAGATAGAGAAGAAATGGGAACGTGACGACCAAAATGGAAACATCTGAGTGGATGCACCTGAATCTCTATATTCTGCTGAACCATCTAGGACTCTTAAAGTGACTCACTCTTTGGTATTCAAGATTAGCAAATTTCCTTTGCCTAGAGACCATGCAGAGAATTCGTGTGAGTAAGATGCCTCACAAGATAATAGTTGTTTTCATCAAGATTCACCTCACCTTTCTGATAGTTTACAGGCATAATGCTAGCTCCAATCTTAGCATGGCCCACCTGCAGAAGTGCCATTCTATTTTGGAAGCAAAGCCATTATTCACCAAAAATTCTGCAACATTTAGCTGTTATATTCTGAGACGAACCTAGAGTATAGATGCCTTAGAATGGATCTTTAGGTGGGTGACTGAGGAAAAGGGTATCAGTTAAGACTGGAAAAGGCAGTTTACTAGTTGCTGTGGTTTGGATATTTGACCCTTTCTAATTTCACATTGAAATTTGACCCTCAGTATTGGAGGCGGAGCCTAATGGTAGGCGTTTGTATCCTGGGAGCAGATCCCCCCATGAATTGTTTGTTACCAAACTCGTAGTAAAGAGTGAGTTCTTGCTCTGTTAGTTCTGGAGATTTCCCTTAGAGCTAGCTGTTAAAAGGAACTTGGCACCTCCCCACCCCCACTTCCTTTCCCATCATGTGACCTCTGAATGCTCACTCCTCTTCCCTTTCTAGCAAAAGAGGAAGAAGCCTAAAGCTCTCACCAGAAGCTGATGTTGGCACCATGCTTCTTGTACAGCCTGCAGAACTGTGAGCCAAATAAGCCTCTTTTCTTTATAAATTACCCAGCCTCAGACATTCCTTTGTAGCAATACAAACAGACTAAGACAATAGTGTAGAGGAACGCACCCATAACTCAGGATCTCATGTTCAAGAAGTCCTAATATTATACTCGAATGGATTTCCTAAATTTGGGAAAAGTATTAACCTATAGTAAATGAGGTAGAAATGCCAGAACAGCCTTATCAAATTTTTGAGAAAAGGGGGGGAAAGACTTAGGCAGGAGTTTTGCTTGAATGGATTTAATGCTTAAGACCAGAGACCCCATCAGCTGGCTGACCATTTCCCAGGAGATCCCAGAGGACATTCCCTTCACTAATTTGAAAGACAGAGTGACAGTATGAGGACACAGGCCTTGTTGAGAGACTCGGTGAATCTGTCCTTGTTAGGCTGAGGTGTATCATCACGAAAGCTGCCATGAAATAAGCCAATCAATGTCATTGAGATGATAGGATTCTGGGATAGTAGAAGCCAGGTGGTGTCACTTTACTGTCAGCAGAAAAGTGAATGTAATTATTGTATTTGGAAGCAAAGCCAGAATGGAAATCAGAGACCCTAACTCCCAAGGATCTGTGGCAATAGTTTCCAGGGGCACAATAGATAGGTATATGGTATTCTGAATAACGGAACCCCTCCAAAGATGTCCACATTTTAATCCTCTAGAACCTGTGAATATGTTACTTTACATGGCAAAGGGGACTTGTAGATGTGATTAAATTAAGAATCTTGAGATGAGGAGTTTATCCTGGATTAGCTGGGTGTGCTCAGATAATCACAAAGATCTTTGTAAGGGAGAGAATGAGGCAGGAGTCAGAGAAGGAGCTATGGCAACAGAAACAGAGCTGAGGGAGAGAGAGAGAGAGATCTGAAGATGCTAACCTGCTGGCGTTGAAGCTAGAGGAAGAGGATGAGTCAAGAAATGCAAGCAACCTGCGGAAGCTGGCAAAGGCAAGGAAATGGATTCTCCCTGGAGGCTGCCCTGCTGACCCCTTGATTTTCGTCTAGGGAAACTGTTTTCAAACCTCTAACTTCCCAGAACACTAAGGTAATAAACGTTGTGTGTTTTTGAGCAACTACGTTTGTAATAGTTTGTGGTGATGGTTTATTTTATTTGTCATCTTGGCTAGGCTATAACACTCAGTTATTCAATCAAACATTAATCCAGGTGTTACTGTGGAAGTATTTTATAGGTGTGGTTAATATCTACAATCGATCAGTTGACTTTAAGTAAGAAAGGTTACCCACAGTAATATAGGTGGACCACGTCAAATGAGTTGAAGGCCTGAAGAGCAAAAATTGAGGTTTCCCAGAGAAGACATTGTGCCTCAAACCTGTGGCATTAACTTCTGCCTGAGTTTCCAGCCTGGTGGCCCACCCTATGGATTTCGGATTCACTAGCCTCCAAAATCACATGAGCCAATTCCTTAAAATAAATAAATATATTAAAAATCTCCTATTAGTTCTCTTTTCCTGGATAACTCTGACCAAAACATTTGTTTCAGTACCAGTAGGAAGCAAATGCAGGTAGCTAACCAAGGTATTGAATGATCCATATAAACAGAAAGGACCAAAAGCAGGTAGGACAAATAGCCATCACAAAAACTATGAACTAATCTTTTTTTCTACTTTCTGCACCTGAGCGAGTTTGAACCAATTAATGCAAGGGATGCCAGGTTACCTTGAGGACTCCTCCAATCCTTTTGCAAATGGACCTACAAATAGTTGCCAGAATATACTTGGGAAATTTAAAAACCCCGCAAATATTAATTTTTTAAAATACAGGGTATGAGCTGACACTGATAGCAGAAGAAGCAAAATGCCATCATGGATCTTTTGCTACAATGAGAGCATGTGAAGATCAGGTGATAAATAGGCTCCTGCCCAAGTTCATCTGACAAGGGTCCAATGGGCATAAAGGTAATGGTCACTTTTCCAGTCCTTAAGTGTATCACTTAGATGGATAAGCTTAGCAGTTGTCAGAAACCTCACATTTCCTCCCTAACCCTTGAATTAAAAACTATAGTGGCAGAAAAAGCCAAGTGACAGTGTCTGAAAGTGTACCTCCTCCAAGATACTAAATCAGAAAAATATCACATACTAGATGAAACTACAGAGTATCATTCTCAAAGTATGTGTGCCAGTAAAAGAGACAGGAATAGTGTGATCTCTATTATGTGCCTATTTAATTTGCTAGTCTGATACCTGCAAAAAATCAGTTGGATCATGGCAGATGACAATAGACTACGGGGAACTGAACTAAGTGGCCTCACCCTTATACCTCTCACTAGCCTAATTATAAATAAACTACTTAAATGAAAGTGCCCCTGTAGTATAATCCAATACTCTGGTCTTGTAAACCAGAAATGGAGAATCGTCTCCCCAGGGCAACTCAGGGAAAAAAGCATCCCGCTTCACTGTCAATACCAAAAGCTGAAATTCTAGTTAAACTATTCCCTGAATTCTTTCTCAGTGCATATTTTAGCTACCCAATCTTGGCTGGCGGGCTACTGCTACATTTATTATGTAGTTACTGATCTGGTGAGTTTATCAGAAAGGCTGATTAGAAGCAGTTCACATTCACTTGGAATGAGCAACAGCATACATTCATGATCTTGAAAAGGGGTATGCTAACATTCCTTCACAATATAGTTCTTGTTATAAAGGGACCTTTGCCATCTGGACCTTCTGCAGAACATCTGCAGAACATCATTTTGATTAGACCTAGGGAGGAGAAAGAAGCTTTATAAGAAATGCCCTTGTGAGGCATATGTGGGCCCAGGGGGTGTGTGGAGACAAAGTGGCTTCATCTTGAATGCAAATCCACCATGCTGTCTTCTCATTAGCCCCAGACACCCTGACGCATCCCAATTCCTACTGTATTTACTGTTCCTAGTGTAAGAACATGTCAACCTTGATGTTATTACGCAAATTATGGGCTATGACCCACATAGTATTCTTGCCTGTTCTACCTTTGATTGTCTTGCTGGAGCACCTATACCCCTTCCACATGGTATATAAGCCCTGAATCTGGAAAGTAAAGGTGTAATCTACCTGTATAGTGACCACCCAATATCAGGTTTCTGTCTGTAAGTCCCCCAGCAAAGCATTCCTTACCAACAAACTACATTCATCTGCCTCCTTGTTCAATTTCCCAGCTCCTTCAGCATTTTGGGGGCTGCTTTGCCTATACGGCCCTCTCATGGAACAGGGTCAGGGATTTACCTTACAAAGACCAAGATTCAGCCAAATTGGTGATGTTTCAAGAATTCCATGAGTTTGTGAAATGCTAAAACACACCCAAAGAAATGGGCAACTTGTTACTCCTTGCATCTATGCCATGAAGAAAGGTATAATGCCTGGTAATCCTCTTTGGATTTTGGAAATAACACATGCCATATTTAGAAATACAGCTCTGACTCCTTTATCAATTGACTCAGATGGCAAATAGTTTTGAGTGGGGCTTTGCAACAGATTTAAGCTGTGGAACAAGCATCCCTGCCATTTAGGTCATATGATTCAGTAAATTCCATGATGCTAGAAGCACTTGAGATGATACATAAGAATGCCGTGTACAATCTTCTGAAAGCCCCCACAGAAGAATCACAGCAAAGACCACCAAGGGCATGCAGCAAGCTGTACTATCTGTAGCAGAGAACTATTCAGCATTCTGAAAGTAGATTCTGTCACGCTACTGGACCTAAATAGAGACTGAACTCCCAACCAAGGAATATTAAGTGACTGTGAAACTGAGGCTAGTTACTTTTATCCTGATATTACATCAAGTCATAACTTTGTGGAGGGAGGCACAATAGGAATTCATCATATTGTGAAAATGGTATATTCTGGATCAGATCGAAGCAGGTTCAGAGAACATAAGTAAGTTACACACGCTAGTGTCCCAGACCTTTACATTACTTACTTAGTTTCATCAATGCCTCATATTTAGTGAGCTAGTAGAGAAGAAATAGCAAATGGAGAAGGAAAATCTCAGGCTTGGTTCATGGATAGGGTGACTTAATATGTTTGCAAGATGAAAATAAGCCTCTGTTGCACTACAGCCTGTCTCAGAGGAGGCCTTGGAAAACAGTGTTAAGGGGAAGTCCTGCATGGTTCACTCTGTCATCAGCTCTGTATGAAGAGAGAAATGGTCTGAGGTAAGAACACAAATAAATTCCTGGGCAGTGGCTGGTTAATCATGGACTTGTAAGGAGCAAGACTGGAAGAGTGGGGTCTAGAAGATATGAGGAAGACTCATGTAGAGGGATCCATAGAAGTGAATACAAAATGTGCAGATCTTTTTGTCTCCTATCAATATCCCCTGGAGACCATCTACCACCGAACAGCCAAGTGGTAAAGATGATTCAGCCAGTGAAAGTCAGCGAGTTTCTTTCCTCAGCAACCCCAGTGCTTGCACAAGGGGCCCGTGAACAGAATAGCCTCACTGGCAGAGATGGAGGGAGACAGAGGAGAAACAAATATTAAATAAATAATGACACAGATAATTGTTGATAATGATTTTCAATACTAAGGAAACAAATATAAGGTCTAGGTTGAGTATTCCAAAATGGTTGGGAGCAAAAGTGTTTTGGATTTTGATTTTTTTCTGATTTTGGAATATTTGCATATAATGAGATATCTTGGGGATGAGATCCAAGTCCAAACACAAAATTCATTTATTTCAAATGCACCCACATGCATAGCCTCAAAGTAATTTTATACAATATTTTAAATAATTTTGCACATAGAGGAAAGTTTTGACTGCATTTTGACTGCAACCCATCACATGAGATCAGGTGTGGGACTTTGCACTTGTGGTGTCATCTTGGCTCCCAAAAAATTTGCAACTTTGGAAGATTTTGGATTTTTTGGATTTAGGATGCTCATTCTGTATCATAAAACATGTAAAACATGGAACAACCCTATTCTGGGAAACCAGGGAATGCTTTCCTGAGGAAATACAACTTTAAAGTTGAGCAGATGATAACTAGATAAGAAAGGGACAGGCAAGACCAAAAAAACTATAGCATTTGTGTGAAAGCCCTGAGGTGGGAAGACGCTTGGTAATATGAGCAAGTAAAGAAGACCAATGTGCCTAGAAGACCATGAAAGAGTGGAAGAGTGGTGGAGGTGAGAAAGAAGAGATAAATGAACATGCCTGATCTTGTCTGATCTCAGAAGCTAAGCAGGTTTGCGCCTGGTTAATACTTGAATGGGAGACAGAAGACATAAGGACCACTGTGAAGGGATCCTTTGTTGCCATTGCTGTTCTTGCTGTTGCTGCTGCTGCTGTTCTAATTGTTGCTTGTGGGTTCACCTTTCCTGAGCTAACTCTTTTTCAACTTTCACTTTTTACTTCCTCAGGGAAACATTAGTGATGCTCCAAATTAGTGTTGTTTATTGATGTTTGTGCTTATTTTAAGAGCAGTGAAAATCATTGAAAAAGGACTGGGCTAGAGATAAGAATTTGGTATTGATTGGAATATAGATGACATATATGGATTAAGAGGAAATTAGAGCATGGTACCAAGCCTAGTAAGGGAAAAGTCTCCTTAAGAGACATCAAGAAGGAACAACCTGAGAAGAAGGGAGAACTAACAAAGAATATGGTATTCCCAAGTCAAGAGAAAAGATAGATTTGAAAAGAATGTGTTCAACTATGTCAAAAGTTGAAGAGCAGGTCAATTAATATATAGCCTAAGAAAATGTCCGTTTGATTTAGCAACATTCGTATTTACACCAACAGAAATTAGCAAATGCCACAAATCCTGGCTGGATTTATTGTTTTATTGATTGTCTAGTCTTAAGAAAGCGATAGAGAAAATATTAATAATGCAGACTAAACTGAAAAGTATATCAAAGTCTGTAGCCATTACATGAATAGCACAAAAGATTGAGCACGTATTCTTCCAGTATTTGAAAACTATTATCCTACTCAGCAAAGAAGTTGCACACGTCATTGATTCTCAAATGAATTCTGACAAACAGCTTCATTGTCATTTCACTTTCATCTTACTCATTAACCACAAATGAAAAATACCAACCAACATTCATGTGGGAACTACATTTGTTCATCAGTTGCAATCATTGATTAGTTAGGGATACAAGAATGGCAAAAATCAATGAAATCAAGGATTCTGTGAGAATCTGTTAGATCTAGAGGATTTCCAATAACAAACTTTGAATATTTTATTGTTATTTACAAACTGCCATGCATTCTTTATATCAATAAAATGCTTAATAGATTTATATTGTTATAATACGTGTGCACTTTTTCCAAAGAGTAAATTATTATGCATTTACCGGCATATCACTATCCTTAGCCATCAGTAATGACCATTAGATAAATGCTCAGGATATACTTATATAAATTTAAAACAAATTCACAAATATGACTTTGAAATAAAGAGATATCACAAAAATGGAAGGAAAGAAAATACAATGGAAATTAACTACCATAATATGGTTACTGTGGAGAGTGTAAATGGCAGACTTATGAATAAAGTTTTGGAACACATGCCATTTGAAGTTCTTGCAGGAACAGAAAAGTCTGAATTTTTTCTTCACTTGTGGTTCACCAAATTCTGCTACCTTTATCTCACTTTACTGAACATGTTTCCCCACCTCAGTAAAATAAAGAGGAATTAAATTTTGCAAAAGGAACAGAGAAATTGATGTAAAACAAAGGGATATTTTGGTAGTTTTAACCTACGTCCACAAACGGTTTTATATTCTTTCCTTCCCTTCTGGGCCTAATTACCCTTTCTGAGTGTAGACTTGACTTAGTAACTCAACTCTAATGATTAGAATATGGCAGAAATGATAGAGTGTAACTTCCAAGTATAGATCTAAATGATATTGTGACTTATGTCTTTCTCCCTTGAATCACTTGCTCTGGGGTAGAGATTCACATGGAGAGAAACTGAGGCCTCCTACCAACAGGCAACACTAACTTTCCAATCCAGGTGAATGAGCCATTGTGAAAGTTGATCCTCCAGTCCCAGCCAAGCCTTCAGATGACTATAGCCCCAGCTGACATCTTGACAGCAACCTCACGAGAGATCCTAAACCAGGGTCACCCAGCCAAGCAGCTTCAGGATCTCTGATCCTCATAAACTGTAATATAATAATTATTTATAGTTTTAAGGACTATGGAGGAAATTTTTTATGTAACGATAGATAACTAATACCTATAGTATAAAATTATGAAGATGTTTACATTTCTTGGGGGTCAATTAATCTTAGATAAGTTTAGGAACTATAATAAATGTGACTTTGAACTTCTCTAACAAGCTGTTAGTGTAGTATTAGACTCAAACACCTTGTCTTCACCTCCTTGTTGAAGGATAGATGGTAATTTAATGAATCCCTCCCAGAGAAGGACACATGGGAAGAATTACTAGAGGAGGTAGCATTTGACCTAGATCTCGAAATTTCAATTACATTTTAGCAGACAGGACTGGATAATAGGTATTTGGA
Organism: Homo sapiens; assembly: GCF_000001405.40. Lineage (NCBI taxonomy): Eukaryota > Metazoa > Chordata > Mammalia > Primates > Hominidae > Homo > Homo sapiens. Next base: position 93,822,520 of record NC_000004.12, read on the forward strand.
TTCGTGTACTGGTGGTGACAGAAAATACATGTTTTAAGAACTATAAGGTAGCTGAATAGAGCACAGGGAAACTTTCAGAGCAATGTTTCACAAACTGGGGCATGCCTAACAATCCCTAGGGGTGCTTATTTAAAATACATGACTGGGCCTCATTCACAAAGTTGACTTGGTGGAATTGAAGGGGCCCAGGAATTTACCTTCTAAGTGAAAAATCACAAGTGATTATCATGTAGGTAGATGGTCACTGGATCACAATTTAAGAACCACTGTGTTAATGGAATAACACAATTTCAGTCTAGAAACATAAGTTAGGACCGTGTCACAGGTGTTTAAATGTTGAACTAAGCTATGTGGTTGAAATGATAAACAGTGAGATGCTACAGGATTTTTGAATAGTTTTTATTGTGAAAATTTTTATGTACAAGTAGTACTAACAGTAATGAATCTTTATATCACCATATCCATCAATTATCAAGATTTCTCTATATTTGCCTTACTATTCATTTTTCATATTATTAATATTGCTGATAAAGTACTTTAAAGCAAATCGTAGACTTCATGTTATTTCACCTCTATTTGCTTCTGCATGTATCTCTAGCTTGCTAGACAATCACATTGTTTTTATAGTACCTAAAACAATTAATAATAACTCACTGGTATCCTCTAATACTGAGTTCAAATTTATCTTTTATAATTTTTTTAAAAATTCTTTCATTGTGAGCTTGTTTGAACCCAAATCCAAACAAGGTCCACACATTGCATTAGATGCTGTATCTAAAGATTATCCTAATCAAGATGGGTCCCTCCTCATTTCCCTCCATTTTTCTTCATGTCACAGCCTTACTGATACTGAACACTAGTTCTACAGAATGTTTCACAATATAGGTTTGTTTTTTTGTATTCTTGTGGTATCATCTAACTTAATATGATGTCCTCCATATTTCCTGTAAGCAGAAGGTTATCTCAAAGTCTTAATAAAATTCAGGTTTACTTTCTTTTTTTAAGGAATACTTCATAGGGGACTATGTAGTGTATAATCCATGAAAGCAAGAAGCACGTCATATCAGGGTCTCCCACTCCAAACGATGCTAAAATTGATCCGTGATTTCAAGGAGTGACAGATTGATTCCTTCATTATAAAATTCCTCAAAATACTTTGATCTATTGTTTCATTTATTCTTAATCATTGCCTCAATAAAATTTTCATTAGGAGATGCAAAATGTTGATTTTTCTAAAGCTCTTATTTCTTCTACTTTTATTATATGGAATTACTCTAAAATATTCTTCTGTCATTACTAAAGCTACTTGATTACTCTGAAATACTTCATATAGAAATGATAGGATAAATGCTTAATTATTTCCCACTGTTAAGGCTACAACAAATGGTTAAAAAAAACACTTTTTTTGGTTTTTGCTTGTTTGTTAATATCTGTGACACTATGAGAAACTGCTTAGGATAATTCATCTTGACCTGGAAATTCTTATTTAAAATAACCTATAGGAGAACACATTTCAAATTAATTTTCAATTTATTTACACCTCTTGAGAAATATTACAGTTCTTTAATTGGAATAGTCCTTAAAATCTGAGATTTCTTAAAGCCATTGGATATATACTGTACCATGGCTGGGTGGAGCAAAATTTAACTTAAAGTTTCAGCAGTAACTACAGGCCTCAAAACACTAGAGATAATGCTTGAATTGACTTGAACTAGTAACTCTAGGCATCTAAAGAGCAAAGTAAATATGCCTGTTTGGTTTCTAGTGTTTTCACTTTTTATTCTGAAACAATCTCAAACTAACAAAAAAGTTGTAAGTACAGTACAAAGGACCTTTTTCACAAAATCATTATAGAGTAAGCCGCCCATTTTTTCTGAATACTTTGAGTATTCCCTGAAAAGGAGGACATTCTCTGATGTAACCAAAATATAACAATCAAAATGAGGAAATTAACTTGTTACCATCTATTTCCCAGACACCAATTTTGTCAATTGTTTCAATGATGTTCTTTATTAGAAAAGGACCTAGTTTAGAATCAGGCATCAGATGTATTATCATTCTCTTTATCCACCTCTACCCTGGAATAGTTCCTTGGTTCACCTTGGAATAGAGACTTGATCTGTCTTTCACAATCTTGACACTTTTAAAGATTACAGGCTGGTTATTTTCTAGACTTTCTTTATAGATTGGTTTGGTGTTTTCTCTCAACTGGCTTCAGGATATGCATCTTTGGCAGGAATATCATAGAAGTAATAATACATTCTCTGCATCCTAACAGAAGGCATATAAATTAAATTTGTTCTGTCTCATTACTGGTGATGTTAACTTTGATCACTTGATAAAGTTGGTGTCTGCTATACATCTCCATGGTAGAGTCAATTTTATTTTACTTGCAATCAATAAATATTTTGTAACTAATAATTATTTCTCAAACCTTCAGGCATTTATTTGTTCTGTCTAAGATTCATGGATTTCTTTATTTCTCAGGAAGATAATCTGTCACTGCCATTACTTATTTTGATACTCAAATTGTCCTACGGGTTGTCAGCGGAAGCTGCTTCAAGCAAGCTTCTACAGTACTTTGACATGTCTCCATCATTCTTTGAACACTTCCTTATTTCTGAGAAAACAAGAGGTTTTTGTTATCTTGTGTTTTTTCTGCTTCATCCCTGAAATCAAATGATTTTTCCAAGAACCCTAGCTCTTTTTAGTGCAGAACATTATTGAGAAACTGAAATCTGGGAGCTAGATATGTTCAATTGCTAATCTCAGGCACTGAGACACTGAGAGTGAAAAGAACTACAAAATACATAGGTACACACACACACACACACACACACACAGGCATGACATTTATATATATTTATTTCTATATCATCTATTCATATATATTAAAAACTAGAAACTCATATTCAAACCTCCAATTCAAATCTATCACCACAGCTTCCTCCATTTCCATATTTGCAACTCCCTTCTCTGACAGTGAGAAATCTATTCTCGTTCTCCTCAAATATTTACTTTTTTGCATTCATCCTTCTGTATGTAACTAATCTGGCTGCCCACACACACTAGAAGCTCTCTCTGCTTAAACTGTGATACCTCAGGCTGTGCTGCTGCTGCCATCATCCAGCTCCCACAGATACTCAATTTGTTGTTGATATGATTTGGCCCTATGTCCCCATCCAAATCTCACCTTGAATTGTAATCCCCATAATCCCCACGTGTCAAGGGCAGCCCCAGGTGGAGGTAATTGGATCATGGGGACAGTTTCCCCCATGCTGTTCTCGTGATAATGAATGAGTCTCATGAGATCTGATAGTTTTATAAGTGCCTGGCGTTTCCCCTGCTTGCACTTACTCCATCCTGCCCCCCTGTGAAGAAGGTGCCTGCTTCGCCCTTGCCTTCCACCATGATTGTAGGTTTCCTGAGGCCTCCCCAGCAATGTGAAACTCTGAGTCATTTAAACCTCCTTCCTTTATAAATTACTCAGACTCAGGTATTTCTTCAAAGCAGTGTGAGAAGGAACTAATACAGGTGTTTTGACATCCTATGACACACACTGTCCTTAAGGATGTCCTGATCACACTATTCAGACTCCAACCCCATGCTCAAGGCCCTGTGCCCCCTTCCCCAGTTCAGATGACAAGCTTCCTCAGCTCTGCCTAATGGGGGAGAAAGAAGAGAAGAAAAAGGGAGGGAGGGAGGAGAAGAATAGGTCCCTACTTATTTTAAGGGCCAAATAAATATATTTCACCGTAAACTACCAAAACTCTTACTGTCCCTCACATTACTGGAACATTCTAATTTACTCACCTAAAAATTGACGTTTGCTTCAAAAAAGTAATAATACTAAAGGTTATATGTAACCCTGGCATATTAGGACCAATATTCTATATATTCAGCAAATATTTCACTACAGCCCATAAAACTGTTGAAACTCAAAGGAAAGTGAATATTGTGTATTATACAATCAAATTTAAAGCACAAAGTTTGGATGATGCAAGCTCAAGGAAAATTTGGGCATCCTACACATTTGGTAGTGACATTATGTGAAAGAATTTCGGGATTAATTTTCAGCTGATAGAGTTGGAAAAAAAAGTGGACGTATAGGGAAAAAAATGCAATATAGACAACCGATACTACCAGGCACTAGCTGCTTACACTGCCATACATATATAGATGACAGTTAATTGTCTCTCTGAAAGTTCTACTTAAGCATCTACAGCTACTAGCAATTATTTTCTCAAGAAGCACATTTTATATGGTAGCACTATTTATAGTAACAGCATTATTAGTCGATTTCAATAACACCCACTTCAATCACCAAACGGAGAATTTTCTGCCCAAAAAAAAAAAAATACATTAGATGGCCTTTTCTTTTTCTTTGTTCTCATGGATGGTTTTCAGATTAGGTTTGTTTTTTGTTGTTGCTTTTGTGTGTCTTTAACATTTATTTCAGCAGAGCCCAAACATTCACACAAGAATAAAGCTCTGAAGTTTCTGGCACGTAAGATACGCCCAAGACTATTCCTAGACACCAGCAAACAGACGAGGTTGAAGAAGAAACAGGTGAAGAATAATGTCTTAAACATCATTTTAGCACCCTATTCTGCCATTCTGTATCTTTATAGGATATGTCCAGTCCAGTCCCAGAAAATCTACTGCCCAAGGAGTTCTAGATGACAGGTTAGATCAAGCCCCGGCAAATGTTTGCGAAAACAACATTCAACTGCCTCTGGACATTGCAAAGACATATTCCAGGGAGCTATCTCTTGGGCTCTTTTTTAACATCTCTCCTAGAGGATGAGACTCCTTTCGGGATTACAGCCACTGGGAAAGTAAAAGCAACAGTAGCATCAACAGGTTGCATCGCACTCCCGCGCCCCAGGGGCGGTGCAGGAGAGCGCCCGGAGCCAGAGCCAGGGCGCGCTGGGCGCAAGCTGGGGCGCGCCCAGGGCCAATGAGCTTCTGATTGGCTCTTTGCTGTGAATAGACTAGGCCGAGGCTAATAGGACCGGAGGGGGCGTTCACCTGGGAATTGGCCTCCCCCCCTTGCCAAGGACCTCCCTGATTGTATGGGGCGGAGTGGGGTGGGGGTGGGGGCTGGAAAGGGGAAGCCCACCCTAACTAAACGGAGGGGCGGGAGGAGGTTAAACTGAGGAAGCCACGAGCCCGCAGTAAAGAGAGGGCGATCGAGGCAAAAGGGTAGGTAACTTGGGACTTCTGTGCCTTGAAAGTGTTAAGGATTGCAGGGAATGCAGGCGCCTTTCATTTTACTTTGGGCACCCTCCCCTGGCTGGGCATTTAATGAGGAGTCCTACTGTGTGTGTTGAAACTCTGCATAATACCGTAAAATATTCTGGCCCTAAATTACACTCAACGGAGAGATTTAGGCAGATTACAATCCTAATTGGCCGCAGGGTGCTGGGGAAAGGGGACAGAGAGAATTGGGGGATCTGGAATTTGGTGTGCTATCACTACACCGCAGCTCTATTTTCCATTAAGAAAAAGATCATATGACGAAGTCGAACTAAGAGATCTGAAGTAAAAAATGAAAAGATGGAGCAAAAGTAAGAAACATACTCTGAGACGAGTGGGTTTTCCCCCTTTATTCCAACAGCAATCTTAAATGATGGACGTCATGTAGCAGTTATATATCTATGAACATGCATGAGAGATTTATAAATACCTGCATACATAAATACAAACATCCTATTATACATGAGAAATCGTAAATGCTTGGGCATCAGAAGTGGGAGCTGTGATCCTAGCTTGGGGGCAGCACAGGGTAGGCGGCCTTCTCTCTGCTTTGAGTGGCTTCTGGGCGCCTGGCGGGTCCAGAATCGCCCAGAGCCGCCCGCGGTCGTGCACATCTGACCCGAGTCAGCTTGGGCACCAGCCGAGAGCCGGCTCCGCACCGCTCCCGCACCCCAGCCGCCGGGGTGGTGACACACACCGGAGTCGAATTACAGCCCTGCAATTAACATATGAATCTGACGAATTTAAAAGAAGGAAAAAAAAAAAAAAACCTGAGCAGGCTTGGGAGTCCTCTGCACACAAGAACTTTTCTCGGGGTGTAAAAACTCTTTGATTGGCTGCTCGCACGCGCCTGCCCGCGCCCTCCATTGGCTGAGAAGACACGCGACCGGCGCGAGGAGGGGGTTGGGAGAGGAGCGGGGGGAGACTGAGTGGCGCGTGCCGCTTTTTAAAGGGGCGCAGCGCCTTCAGCAACCGGAGAAGCATAGTTGCACGCGACCTGGTGTGTGATCTCCGAGTGGGTGGGGGAGGGTCGAGGAGGGAAAAAAAAATAAGACGTTGCAGAAGAGACCCGGAAAGGGCCTTTTTTTTGGTTGAGCTGGTGTCCCAGTGCTGCCTCCGATCCTGAGCCTCCGAGCCTTTGCAGTGCAATGTCCCGCCTGCTGCATGCAGAAGAGTGGGCTGAAGTGAAGGAGTTGGGAGACCACCATCGCCAGCCCCAGCCGCATCATCTCCCGCAACCGCCGCCGCCGCCGCAGCCACCTGCAACTTTGCAGGCGAGAGAGCATCCCGTCTACCCGCCTGAGCTGTCCCTCCTGGACAGCACCGACCCACGCGCCTGGCTGGCTCCCACTTTGCAGGGCATCTGCACGGCACGCGCCGCCCAGTATTTGCTACATTCCCCGGAGCTGGGTGCCTCAGAGGCCGCTGCGCCCCGGGACGAGGTGGACGGCCGGGGGGAGCTGGTAAGGAGGAGCAGCGGCGGTGCCAGCAGCAGCAAGAGCCCCGGGCCGGTGAAAGTGCGGGAACAGCTGTGCAAGCTGAAAGGCGGGGTGGTGGTAGACGAGCTGGGCTGCAGCCGCCAACGGGCCCCTTCCAGCAAACAGGTGAATGGGGTGCAGAAGCAGAGACGGCTAGCAGCCAACGCCAGGGAGCGGCGCAGGATGCATGGGCTGAACCACGCCTTCGACCAGCTGCGCAATGTTATCCCGTCGTTCAACAACGACAAGAAGCTGTCCAAATATGAGACCCTGCAGATGGCCCAAATCTACATCAACGCCTTGTCCGAGCTGCTACAAACGCCCAGCGGAGGGGAACAGCCACCGCCGCCTCCAGCCTCCTGCAAAAGCGACCACCACCACCTTCGCACCGCGGCCTCCTATGAAGGGGGCGCGGGCAACGCGACCGCAGCTGGGGCTCAGCAGGCTTCCGGAGGGAGCCAGCGGCCGACCCCGCCCGGGAGTTGCCGGACTCGCTTCTCAGCCCCAGCTTCTGCGGGAGGGTACTCGGTGCAGCTGGACGCTCTGCACTTCTCGACTTTCGAGGACAGCGCCCTGACAGCGATGATGGCGCAAAAGAATTTGTCTCCTTCTCTCCCCGGGAGCATCTTGCAGCCAGTGCAGGAGGAAAACAGCAAAACTTCGCCTCGGTCCCACAGAAGCGACGGGGAATTTTCCCCCCATTCCCATTACAGTGACTCGGATGAGGCAAGTTAGGAAGGTGACAGAAGCCTGAAAACTGAGACAGAAACAAAACTGCCCTTTCCCAGTGCGCGGGAAGCCCCGCGGTTAAAGATCCCCGCACCCTTTAATTTTTGCTCTGCGATGGTCGTTGTTTAGCAACGACTTGGCTTCAGATGGCAGCTACATTTGATGGTTTGCAAATGCCGCCGCTGTTCCAAACTTCCTACGGTCCATATTGTTTGATGAAAACTTTCTGTTAAAATTGTGTCCTTTCCGCCCACCTTCTGCTCCCCCTTTAGATAGATACGGTATAATTGTAGGTACCCGTATATGGCATCATTATTCTAGTTCCCTGCTGCCAATACGCTGCTAAAACGTCGCATCTTCTCTGTCACTGGTTTGGGTTTAATTTATTTTACGCCCTGGGCATCCATCCTTGTGTGTTGCGCACTCAAGTGTGGGAGATTTAGTCTTCCGAAGTTGTTTTCCAAAATGCACAATGAAACGCAAAATTAGTGCTTCCAAAGTGGATAACTTTTGACTATGGAATTGTTAGAAAACAAGAAACTTTAAGGTTTATATATTGTATAAACATACCCAGTATGTGCATCCGATCGCGAGAACGTTGGCGTCTTTTAGGAAACTCCGCGCACGCACTTTATCAGCCGCTGCTGCGGTGGTGGCTCCAGGAGAAACTCAACTGCCAATTGCAGACCAGTTTTTTTTTTTTTAAACACAGCCACTTATAATTCTTAAGCTCTTTGCAAATGTTTGTTTAAAAAATGAAAAATTAAAAAAAATCTAGTAGTGTCAAACGCATTTGGTCAATTTTATTTTGCTTTGTTAATATTAGAAAACTTATTTATTATTGTTTGCTACCATTTCTACTTATCTTGATTCATTTTTTACGTTTTCTACTCGAGATCATTTTATTTTAATTTAGCAAAGCCAACTGCCCTTGTTTAATGTATTTTGTTTTGCAAATGATTAAAATAAATGTGAAAAGAAGCCTTTTGTCACTTATTCCTTGAGTATAACTACTGAAAACAATTTTCAAATGAATGACTTTGAAGAATTGAGTTAAGTCTTCTATTCAATGTCATTTATGCGATCTTACAGTTTTGAAGAAAAATGTTGTAAACTTGGTGCCTTCAGGTAGTATCAAAACCCCTTCAAAGAAAAGCACTCAAGTCAATAATTAAATTGTGAGATAAAACTTCTTCCAAATTTGCAGCACAGTTTTGCCTCTTTGATGGCCAGGATCTTCCCAGTCTTCTTTACTCCTTGCCCCAACAACATCTGCAAGGGGGGGAGGCCATAAGTTTTAGGTTTGCTAGAACCTAGCCTGGAGTAGTTAACTTTACCAGGGTTAGCTATGTCCACTCATAAAACCTACTCAAGCTGAAAATTTTTCACATAGGTCAAGCGCAGTGCACACTGTCTATGCCTCTCTCTCTCTCTCTTCTGGGAGAAGAAGACCAGAAGAGACAAAGATGATAACAGAAAAAAACTTGAGGGAAAAAAAGGAATGGGATTAATTGATTCAAAAATTAGAAGTGTGTAGTTGCCCTGGGAATTTGTTGACCTCCACTCATTTTTTTCTTTTCACACAATTCTGTTTCTCCCAATGTAGAAGCTAATGTCTGTCTTTATTTTGTCTTTCTAAATTAGCTTCTATGTAGAAAATATTCAACTACATTTCTGAGTCAATTGCATAAACTAAACGGTGCTGTCACTCTCACCTCAGGTGTTCTCACTAAGGAAAAACCTATTCTGGGTCTCAGGATCATAGGTTTTGGAAAAGCTAATAGTCGTGCGTGTGCGTGTGTGTGTGTGTGTGTGTGTGTAGACAGTGAGAGAGAGAGAGAGAAGAAAGTGGAATTAAAAAAATAAATTTGGCAAACACGAGAGTAGGACTACTTATTAAACTAAATATTCGGCAACGTTCCACTGGATAAACATCGTTGAATTTGAGACGCTGATTTTAAGCCAAGTCTTTTATCTTTTGAGGCCTCACTGGGATAACAAATTGCTGGGAAATGAAGCACCAAAAAGAGCAAGGGAAGGTTAGTATAATCACTCCTGCATCCTCTTCTCCTCCTAGCACCTTGAAAAGAGAAAAGCGCCAAAAAGAAAAGGAAAGCGCCACAAACTGGGTTTGCAGAAAGAGTAATGCACTAGGGAGCGCAGGTTCTGGTCTCCTTAAGTAAGAAACTGCAGAACCAGCTTTTTACTGACCACCTGGGTATCTGTGGCTTTCAGCGGAAGCCGACCAAGAGATGCAGAGAACGTCCGCCAGCTCTCTGGGAGAAGCGAGCAGGCGGCTGGTGACACTTTCCAGGGCAGAAATAATGCACCTGTCCCTTAGATAACCTTTTGCACCCATCGAGTTTGCCGTGCTCACGATAAACATCAGGAATCTTCGGGCTGCTGAATAAATCAAGCGATTGCTTCTAACACATTTCCATTTCGCTCTCAATAAGCAGACCCAACAGGTATGGACATACAGCAACCTTGCGGGATGAGAGCACGCATATTTTTATAGTTATTTGCTTAGTGTGTTCGCATGCATGTGACAAGGACCTAGACTCATTTTACCTGTTCTGAATCTGGCTCAGAAAAGGACAGGAGGAAGGAAAAGGTGATTTCTTTTTTCCTCAAAGAAAATCTATGTTTCATTTTTCAAAACCATTTCTGTTCATTTTGTGTCAATCAAAGAGGAGAAAGACCTTGTCCAACGTTAATATTTTTCATTGTCTCATAGAAATTGCAAAACAGAAAGGACATCAGGAACATCTTCCTTCACATCTTTCATAAATGAGGAAACTGCTGTCCCTAATTTGCCCCCAAAATCACACAGCTAGAAAGTGTCAATATCCAGAACTGATCTTAGTACTCCTGGCCGCTAGGTCAATGTTCTCATAATTTTTCTCTGAGGAAATCAATAGATAAGAGCTACAGCTATCTAAATGTTGGTGGGGAGGTGTTGTACCACCACAGTAGGTGGATATTTATACTTTTAAATATTAGTGGCATTACATAGGAATTGAAAATAACACCAGCTTCATTTAAGGACATTCTTTACATTTCTCCTCAAGAGAAAAACAACCATAACGGAATATCCGAAATACTATACTGATATAGTCTTTATAACAATATAGAACTGGAAATATTATAACACAGTTGATTGAAAAGGGGGGATACATTTTACTAACCCATTAAGACATGCGAGAAAAGTCAAATCACTGTGGTAAATTGAGTGATCAAAGTTCAAATGAGAGCTTTAACCCCTTTTCTCTCCATTCTATTTCTTTCTTTCTTTTTTTATTGCTGGCATTTCTTTGAAAGAGATGTACAATCACATTTCCATTTTAAGGTTCTTCTATGGAGTTTGCATAACAAACGTTTGGCAGCTCGCTCTCTTACACTCCATTAACAAGCTGTAACATATAGCTGCAGGTTGCTATAATCTCATTAATATTTTGGAAACTTGAATATTGAGTATTTCTGAGTGCTCATTCCCCATATGCCAGACCACTTCTGCCATGCTGACTGGTTCCTTTCTCTCCATTATTAGCAATTAGCTTCTACCTTCCAAAGTCAGATCCAAGTATCCAAGATACTAGCAAAGGAATCAACTATGTGTGCAAGTTAAGCATGCTTAATATCACCCAAACAAACAAAGAGGCAGCATTTCTTAAAGTAATGAAGATAGATAAATCGGGTTAGTCCTTTGCGACACTGCTGGTGCTTTCTAGAGTTTTATATATTTTAAGCAGCTTGCTTTATATTCTGTCTTTGCCTCCCACCCCACCAGCACTTTTATTTGTGGAGGGTTTTGGCTCGCCACACTTTGGGAAACTTATTTGATTTCACGGAGAGCTGAAGGAAGATCATTTTTGGCAACAGACAAGTTTAAACACGATTTCTATGGGACATTGCTAACTGGGGGTCCAACTTGACCAGAAAAAAAGGGGGAGGTTAATTTCCTTAATCTTAACCAATGAATGACCAATATTTTCATAAGGCCTTCCTATTGATTTTAGAGTGTTGAACCAAGTAAGCAGAGTGTTTGAACCAAGTAAGAGGTCTTTTACCAAAAGATAGCTTGTAATATTTCTCTCCTTTGCCCATTTGAAAGTTCAAGAAAAATATTATCAAATTCGTCTTGCCAGTTACAAACTCGAATTAGAATTGGAAAGTAAAAGTAGCAGATGCACTTATCAATTATAATCTAGACTTGTCAGTTGCAATCTAGAAAAACCAGCAAGAGCTGCTCAGCGTTACAGATAACCAATCGTAGTTGAATTGCTTGCAGTTATTTTTGTGAAAAGGGTTAGGAGATGGAGGGAGAAGGATATAATAAAGGCATAAGTTTTTCTCGATGTTATTGACTCTACATTCGCTAACCGCCCTCGCCCCTAGGCCAAGAAGAGTCCCAGACGCCGACAACTAAGGTTCCTCCCTTTCTCCTACTAGGCCCCTAAGGAGAAAGGGGAAACTGAGCGGAGAATGGGTTAAATCCTTGGAAGCAGGGGAGAGGCAGGGGAGGAGAGAAGTCGGAGGAGTATAAAGAAAAGGACAGGAACCAAGAAGCGTGGGGGTGGTTTGCCGTAATGTGAGTGTTTCTTAATTAGAGAACGGTTGACAATAGAGGGTCTGGCAGAGGCTCCTGGCCGCGGTGCGGAGCGTCTGGAGCGGAGCACGCGCTGTCAGCTGGTGAGCGCACTCTCCTTTCAGGCAGCTCCCCGGGGAGCTGTGCGGCCACATTTAACACCATCATCACCCCTCCCCGGCCTCCTCAACCTCGGCCTCCTCCTCGTCGACAGCCTTCCTTGGCCCCCCACCAGCAGAGCTCACAGTAGCGAGCGTCTCTCGCCGTCTCCCGCACTCGGCCGGGGCCCCTCTCCTCCCCCAGCTGCGCAGCGGGAGCCGCCACTGCCCACTGCACCTCCCAGCAACCAGCCCAGCACGCAAAGAAGCTGCGCAAAGTTAAAGCCAAGCAATGCCAAGGGGAGGGGAAGCTGGAGGCGGCAGAGGCGGCGGCGGGAGAGCTGTGGGGTTGTTCAGGAAAAGTTGGGCTGGGGGCTGAGGCACCTGAAGCAGTGAACCAGGACTAGGTAGGAAGCAAGAGCATCCTCCTGCGCAAGCGGAGACGCAAACGCGCTCCTGAACCCATGCAACCGCCCGGCCCAGCGCCGATATTTGAAGATCTACTTCTCTTTTCTAGCCAGAGATGCATTTCTTCACTCACTCTGTTATTCTAAAGACTTTTTTTTTAATGTTAGTAAAATTCTCAGAGTTTAAAGGAGAAGCCAACATATGGGCATTGTCTTCCACGTGTCGTTCCACGGGCGGGTGCCTGACTCTTCTTTCCTTGGCTCCTTAAGAAAAGTTAAGCATTTCAATACAAAGATTGTAGGCCTTTCTCTTCTCAGGATGCCCCTCCCTTTTCAGCTCTGCTTTCTCTGGTCCCAGACAAACAAATTAGGCTTTTGCTGCCTAATCTACAAGTAGGCCAGGCCCATTCTGCAAGTTCATACTTTTCCCCAGTGAAACCAGAAGGCTCCTCCACAGAGCTGAAAAACAAAGTGCTCTTCAATATAAGTATTTTTCACTATTGTTTTCAACTATTCTGATTAGTGAGTTAAGAGACATGATAAAGAAAACGCTGTTTGGATGTCCAGCAGGTTCACCACAGCTGCAAGGCCTAGATACTGTTAGGTTGATGAAGAAGGTGTGAGCTAGGATTTGGGGTCTTGGGATTTCTCAAGCCAAGAGATGTCGTTACTCTTTTGGACCACTGGACATTTGTTTGTCATTTCTAGATACAGTTCTCCACAATTCCTCCCACCTTCCTGTCTCTACAAACTCTTAAAGATGGGGTGCTGGTAAGGGAGGGGCTAGGATTGGAAGGGATCTTCAATGATCTGGGGCAGGGGTGAAGTAGCATTTGAGGGAGGAGTAGGCATCATTCTTTGTACCTTAGGGGGCCACAAAACTAGGAGAGATCTGAAATCACTGGGCCACAAGTTGACCAGGAAGATGGGAGGCCAGTTCTTTTTGTTTTCAATAATGCATCTGCTTCTGGAAACAACCTAGCAGAAATGCACAGGATTATTTATTTTCTTTAAGTTTTCTTCCAACCCAAGGGATGTTGATTCAGTCAATGAAAAATCCCAGGAATTTGCATACAGGGTTTCCAGGCGATCAGATACTAGTAGAGCAGAGGATCCCTGAGACACTAATGTAAGGGAGTTTCTATCAGACACCTTCTTGAGATTGTCTATGAAAATGGAAACTAGCTAATAATTCCCCCCTACCTCCTTATACAGTATTGGTTTTTTTTGTTTTGTTTTGCTTCTGAAAAAAGAGAAGCAGGCAACGTAGCTTCTTGGATCCCATGACTTGACTTTGTTGTTTTCAGGCTATTTGGCCTGGGACAATGTGATCCAGCCCTAAGATGTCTCAATTTCAAACGTGATACCAGCTGCCTTTGGAGGCATAAGGGCATCATTCCAGGAGGTACAACACATTCACCCTCTGACTGTCCAACATAAGTGACTCAGTGGGAGAAGCCAAAATGATAACCAGTGAGTGTTTATGAAAAGCAAGGAGCAAGACCAACAAACTCTGAAAGAAATAGAAAGATGGGCGAAGATTGTCAGAAAGCCTTTGGTTTAAGGGAGGTGGACCAAGTCACATCACTCTGTAATAACTCTAGCCTGAATTTAGAGGGTCATCAAATTTGATGGAAACATTAGCCACCTATCAATTGACTGAAGAAATAGCTATTCTGCTGTGCTGGTAATGGCAATCTGAGAATACAGAGAAAACCATTTTCATGATGTAGAAAGGCAATGAGCCCAGGAAACAGTGTAACTTCCTTTGGTGACTAATTCTTTCATTTCTTTCAAACTCTTCCTCACTGTCTCATATAACCCACATCCCTCTTGTTTTCATCAATGAATGGGCACTTACTGAGCACCAATCTATATCAGGGGAGTTAACCACCCTAGGAGATGCCAAAGAATAAAATAGAGCTCCCTCTCCTAAAGGACTTAGAAGGTGGGCCGAGTGCGGTGGCCCATACCAATAATCCCAGCAATTTGGGAGGCCAAGGCAGGCGCATTGCTTGAGGTCAGGAGTTCAAGACCAGCCTGGACAACATGGTGAAACCCTGTCTCTACTAAAAATACAAAAAAAAAATTAGCCAGGGATGGTGGTGCGTGCCTGTAATCCCAGCTACTTGGGAGGCTGAGGCAGGAGAATCGCTTGAACCCGGGAGGCAGAGGTTGTGGTGAGCCAAGATCACGCCATTGTACTCCAGCCTGGGCAAGAAGAGTGAAACTCGGTCTCAGAAAAAAAAAAAAAAAAGAAGAAAGAAAAAAAAAGGACTTAGAACAGTTGGAATCTCAGAACAAACATAGAAAAAAAGCTTCATCTCCTAGATGAGGGTAGCATTATCACTACAAATGAGCCACAGCATTGTCGCCTTATGTTTGCCATCACATTATTTCAATCATAGTTCCAGGTGTATCTGTGCATAACCCTCTTTGTTACCCTCAAAAATAGTAGAGATTTTGAATGACCTGAAACCATACACCTAATCTTTAAGTTAACCACTTTTGACCTCAGAGAATACCTTTATTTGTTTTTTATGAGGTTGTTGGGATGTAATCATAATTTCATACCAGAAAAAAAAAAAGAGGTTCTGAGAGAGATTTGAGTATCTTGCAGAAGGTAACGTAGTCTCAGTAGATTCATGGCCACAGAAACTCAGGTCTTTTCTCAGCCTAGGGTCAGTGTTTTTTTCACCACATTTCACCTGTCTTGGGTTCATATTTTGAACCAGCCACCTTATACTTGCTTCTCCAGTTCTTGTCAAATATGGAAGTGGTAGAGATCTCTGAACTCTTCTGTTTTACATTTGCTCCAGAGGGAGATAAGATAGTTCTTTGGAGATGGTTATGGAGCAGGCTCCATTTCCACATGATAGATTTAACAGACATACTGGATAGAATAATTTTCATTTAGAATGCCAGCTTTGCTCCTCTGATGTGATTGATACTGGACATTATTGCCGTTTATTCCATATTGACATTCATTTCCACTTTTATCTAGAAAAACCCATCCCAATTCTAAACACAAAATAGGAAATGAGGCTAAAGAGTGTTATATGAAAATGTGTCCTGAAGAGTAATGGCCTGAAAGCAGGTATTTCCCAAAATTATTGCCTCATGTATGCTTGCAAAAAATGGCAGGGAAAATAATTCTTATTGAAAGGAGAAGTAAATGTACCTGGTACTTTGTAGCTGCGGATTCATTCAGTGACAACACACATGTTTTATTCACCTGGTCATTGGAGCTGTTGGCTTTTTCCCCTAAAGCTTCCTACAAGGAAATACCACTGTTCTGAGTGGTTCAATGTCTAAAAAATATTTCTTTGTTTTGAAAAATTCTGATATTTACCTGTCATGAGTCAGTACTCCATTTTATAATGCCTCCAGATTCATTGGTTTAAGGCAATTTCTTTTGTATGACTTGTAACTTAGAAGTATTCAACCCCCCAAGGAGTGAAGCAGGGAGTAGAGAGGACTTAAAAAGCAGAATATATTCCTATTCAAAAAAGCAAAGTTCTCAAGCAGCCACAAAGGTCACATCTTTGGATCAAGGGATAAACTTTGTACTTGCAGTGCTATCTAGAAATTTTCCCGCAGGTTATTTAGCCCCTGTTGCTCCCTCTCCCGACCTGCACACCAGGACAGCTCCTAGGGATTTAGGTCAGAGCACTGTTTACCACAACCTAAACTCATATTGCTTGTTTGTGGGGTGGGGAGGGGGGGGGTGCAAGGGGGGATGGCGTCTTGCTCTGTCACCCATGCTGGAGTGCAGTGGCATGATCTCACTGCAACCTCCACCTCCTGGGTTCAAGCGATTCTCTTGCCTCAGCCTCCCAAGTAGCTGGAGTAGCTGGGACTACAGGTGCCCGCCATCACATCCGGCTTGTTTTTGTATTTTTAGTAGAGACAGGGTTTCACCATGTTGGCCATGCTGGTCTCAGACTCCTGACCTTGTGATCCACCTTGGCCTCCCAAAGTGCTAGGATTACAGGCGTGAACCACCATGACCTGCCCAGATTACTTCTTAACGTGTCCTGCCTTGTGGTACCGGATAACTCACCTGGCTGAACATTCCCCACTATTTTGGGACATCTACATGGCTCCTGATTCTAGAAAAGGAGTGTGAAGCTATCATGTAGACCTTTCCTGCTTTGTCTGAGAATGATCCCAGATGTGTTCACTGTAGGCAAGAAGGCTACTTTCCCAACATTTTGTTCAACATCTCTTCTTTCTCCTCCACCTTCTCCATTCTGCTACAGAGAGGTGAAGATTTACCCAGACCAAGGGGATTGGCTTGGGTTTAATGTTTTCTCATAGGTGCTGCACCCTACATAAGCCAGTTGGCCCAAGGACTAGAGAGATGGGGACAAGGAGGCTTGGTTATTCAGCCAAAAACTATATTAATGAGGGAGGCTCAGTCTTCTCCGGGCCTGTGGAAGGTGAGGAGTAATTTGGTAAGGTCCATTTGGGAGACCCTCCAAAGCACTTTTCCAGGTACCAGGCATTTTGTATGAAGGTCCTTCTTGAGGGAGCCTCCTCATCCTCACTCTACTGAGAAATAAAGAAAATAATTCATCTTGTGGGCTAACGGTTGTCCTCAGAACTCTTTCACCTCTGAGATCACCTCCTTCTGGGTTCCTCCCCAACACTTCAAGGTCTGGCGAAGATTCTTTTTTCTCCTGGAACCCCATACAAAGTTTTCTCACATTCCACTGGAATTTCAGATTTGTTTTTAAGCGCCAGCCCCTTGAAGGCAGGAACCTGTGTCTAATTTGAGTTTGCCACTGGCCCAGTGACAGGCAGATAGTGCCCATGGAAGAGATAAGTGAGATTCAAGGTCACTTAGGCCTGTATGTGTTCTGCCTGGCCACAGAATTCCTTGTCTTGCTTTCTCTTTAGATCAGACGCTTTAAACTGATTACAGTCAACATTGGGACTTCTTTCTGTCCTGAAAACTACAAAGCCTTTCCAACACGGTTTCCCCTCCCTTCTTTAACTTTTTGCCTAATCTCTGAAACCCCTAGATAGAGTGAAATACTCTGTCCACTGTGCTCCAGTGGTCCTTCTAACAACTGACACTTTTTTAAAAGTGCATTTCTGGAGTCAGGGCAAGGTCTTATCCACCGTTGCATCCGGATTATCAGAAACCCCAATATGCCTTTCCAGGATTTAGTTGGACAGGCTGATGCCCTCAGGCCAGTCTTGGGAAGTTGCTTTCTTCTCTGGCCCCGTGCTGTGTTACAGTGCACTGCTTGCACTGCCGTGGCTGAGTGTGACTCAAGAGGTTACCCTACATGATCCCCAGAAGGCAGAAGCACAATTCTAGCATCTCTTCCCCTTGCACTTTCTCACTACCTGTGTCGCCTGGCTGCATTTTCTACCACATTATTCCTTTCTACCACCATCTTTCCTTCCCTTTCATGAGCTCTCACATGCTTTTCACTCATTCTTTTCTAGCAATTTCCACTTCCCTATCATTTCCCCCCAGTCCTTCTGACATCTCTTGGTCCAATTGCCACCTTTTCTTCCCCCATTCCCTTGACCTTTATTTCCCAGCACTGGCCCTCCTTAGGCAGTGGTTTTATTTCATGTATTTGTTCCTTTACCAACATCCTAACCTCACCAGTCCCCATTCCTTGGGTCTGTCCTTCTGGTTCACCTCTAGCATGACACAGTCAAGACAAGACTTGAGCAGCCACTTCACTGCATGGCCAGCAAGGCAACAGCACTTTTTCACAGCAGCCCAGGCAGGCACTGGTACAAATTAATGCCTTGCACTTTTGAAAAATCTGCAGTGCTTCCTGCAGGAGCAGCGCAGGCATCACCCCTTCATCCTAGACAGGGAACACAGCAGAGGCAGGGAGGTGCAGGTGGGCATCAGAGAGCTAGGGAAACCGGATCTCCTGTCAGTGTGAACTGAAGGTTTTTTCTCCCCTATTCTTGCTTCCCTCCCCTCTCTCTCCTGACAGAGACACCCAGCAGTGTTTTGGTGGCTGTGCTGTCGACTTTCGCCTCCTAATCTCAGTTAATCAACTTGAGATCATTGATGCAGGTCAGCATCAGCCCATCTGTTTGATCAAGAGTCAGAGATCTCTATTTCCTTGCAGTCAGAATTCCTCCCTGGGGCAGGCACCCTGCTATAGTAACCTTCATTTAATACCCCCGTTATCATTAGCATCAGAGCTCATCGACACGCCTTTCCACAGAGGATCCCTGCTCCAGCCTAGAGGACTCCAGCATCTTCAAGGAATACCTTATTGGAGTTCACCTTGACTGCAATCTGAAGGAAGTGCTACTGCTTTCAGCAACAAACAACCACCAAGCAATAAACATTTCAAGATCATTTCTCTCTAAAAACAATCTTCAGTTTTTTCCATTTCTTTCCATCATGTACCCTTTTCAGTTTATCTTCATCTAGACGATAAACAAAATACCCTCAAAGAGGCTGTCTTTTATCAATGGGAACAATTTTTGTCCAACATGCTATAAACTGGTTTGCAGGATACTTACAAAGAACAATAGGGGAAATGAAATAAACCATTCAGAACTGTGCCCTGAAGTTTACCAAGGTAATTGATCCTTCCACTGGATCCTCCTGAATTTTTCAACAGTAAACTAATTCATCTTCAACTGTTGATTTCGCCATTATTATATGTTTCACAAACAGTAGATGCTTTAAATGATTTCAACATTTACCCCATAAGTTAAATGAATAAGACATTTGGTTAAAATAATAACACTTCTAGAAATCAGAGAAAGAAAGATGAGAGAGAGAAAGATTGCTAGTGCAAAACTTGCACGAGGGATTTGCACCTGTACAACTTGTGGTTACTTAATGTCTCCTGAAATCTAGAAGTACTCACCAAGACAGCTGGCAAATAGGGGGTTAATCATTACAGAAAATGATGCATCATATCTTTTCAGTTTGGTTTATACTGAAGGGCAGTAAAGATTTATGCTTCAGGAGGATAAAACTGTTATTTTCAGAGTGTGGTTGTCTCCTTTGAACATTTATTTTCTGAGGCAATGTAGATATAGTTAGTCTATGTTATAGAACAATCCTAGTGCTCCCTAAAAGAACTCTCTGGTACTTTAATCATCTGGATGTATTAGGCTATATGAAAACGTCTTGGGTTTCTGAAATGTTCTAACACCTAAGGCTTATAAGAATATTGAGCTATAGTAACATTTTAAAAACAGAAGATTCCTTAGACGTTTTATTAAATTAGGTAATACTGTTTGTCTACATCAGTTGCCACTTTCTTGCAGTATTTTTCAAAAAGATAGTTTTATCCTCCAATATTTTCAATTGCTGCTAACTGCATTTTAATTTAGAAACATTTATGAGTTGGCCTTTTCTCCCTAATAGACGGTATGCTTAATTCTTTCTTATATTGGCAGAAAATTACTTCATGGATGTAGATAAGATAGGTATATCTTATTACTATATATCTCTCTGGTATTGTATTTTCCAGTTCCAGGAAGGCAAGATTGAAAGAGCTTTCTGTCACCAGCTAGTTATTAACAAAAACAGTATTCATTGCCTTTCTGGTCTTAGGCAGCATCTGAAGCTCCCTGCAGTTCGATCCTGTGATTATTAACTCCCTTCCCACCAGTATCTTGTACAGGCCCATTATCTACTGTCAATATTTTTATAGCCTGTGAGGAGAAGTCCTGCTTACTTCCTGTTAGAAGGGAGGTAACAGGGTTTTCTCTCTCTTTTTTTAAGTAGATAAATATGTACTCTACAAATATGTTTGGTGAGGAGGTAAGAAGGGAGGGAAAGGGGAGCCAAGCATCTGCTGTCTCACAGGCTCATTGTGTGGTTAATCATTGCTCTAGAATAGTTTCACAGGGTGTAGGCTTTCCGAAACAAGGATTACTGAAAGATCCAGGTTTGAAAACTTTTTTCAGTTCTGTTCACACATGAAATCCTAGACATTAGGAATGGGGTTGTGTGTGTGTGTGTGTTGTTGTTGTTGTTGTTGTTGTTGTTGATTTTTAACCATTTTATCTTCATGTCAGCCATTTTGATTTTCCAGCTTTGAGAAATCTCTGAAGGAAATTTTCCTGAAAGAGATGAACTGATGTATAATGTCTATGTTTAAGAGAATGGAGCTTCACAACATAGGACTGTCATAGGGATTTATTGTGAAAACAGGGTTAGTGTTTCAAGGCTCTACTTTGTAAGAATAAATACATTTTTAAAGTTTAAGCAAATTAAGCATAGCCTTTAGTTCAAAGCATGTACTTTCAAAAGTAACTTTTATCATGTTCCTATGTTCTCTATCTAGTGGCTGTTTTGATAAAAGAAAAGACCAAGGCCAGTGATCATAGATGTGGGATAACACAAAATATTGTCATGAATCACAGTATTTTCAAATATAAATCATGACACATAATGTTCAACTTTGAACATTTTTAAATTGAAAGCATTTCTGTCAAGAATTAGAAGATTCTTTCTGTGTTTATAGTTTTATCTTTTTAAAAGAGCAGTAGACTCCAAGTCAGTAATTCTGTTTTATTCCCAGTTTTCTCACTTATTAATTCTGTGTACCTAGGGCAAAGTATGCAGCTTTTCTGAATTTTAGTTTTATTATTTATAAAAGAGGGAAGAACAATTAAACTTGAGCCACCCACATCAGAGACTTGTTTTGAAAATCATATAACATAAAAGAATCATACAAGATCACATATATATACCAGGTTAGGCCAATTATGCTGTAGCAACAAACAAGACCAAAATGTGAGTGACATAAGCAACAAAAGTATATTTCTTGTTCATAATACAAAACAATCAGAGGAGGTCAACTGGGACTTAGCTGTGACAACAGATCAGCTGGTCTCTTATTACTTAGGCACCCAGAATGACACAGCAGCCACAGCCACCACCTCAAGCATTGCTAGTTACCAAATACAGAGGGAAAGAAGGCTCTGGAGGCAATTATATTATCTGCTTGGAACTGACACATATCACTTCTGCTCACAATTTATTGGCAAGAACTCCTTAGAAGGCCTCATCCTACCACAAAGAGGTCATTAAGTACAATCCTACCAGACTATAAATAGCATTAATGACCACCATAATTTGTAATAGGAAATTTCCAATGTCAAATTGCTTTACAGGTGAATATTATCTACCAAAAGTAAACTGGGGATTTCCAGGAGTTAAAGCAGACATGAATTCGCAAAAATCATAGTACTTTTTGTGATTTAACTTTCTAAAATGAACTTACTTAGAGGTCTTTAAATTTAACAGTTTGGATACATTTGCTTGGAATTACAGAAAACATTGACCTAGAGGTTACTAAAATGAAGCCTGAGATTCTACTTGGCTTCAACCAGATCACAGTTTTCCTAAAATAGAAGTCCTTATCCATTCACTAAGATACAATATTTTAAAAACAAAAAACAATAACACATAGATCTTGATGCAACAATAACAATAACAATGCTGTATTCATCACTTATGGATAAATCAATTATTGCCAAGATGAGACAGTCAGAAGTCTTTGCAAGACTTTTGGGACAATTACAGGGAAAATAAGTTCTGTTTCATCAGATTTGAGAAACTATAAGATGTAACCCTGGCATTGTGAGTGGTTATTTCTATCATTACATAGATACAAGTTGCCTAAGAAGATCACCAATCCAGCAGAAAGCAAAGCAAAGATGGAAAGAGAGAAAAAGGTGAGTGTGTGTGTGTGTGTGTGTGTGTCTCAATCTAATCACTTAATGTCTTTAAATTCAGCATGCCTAAAATTAGTTATACTCTCTAGCTTCCCAATTTTTTGAGCCAATAAGTCCCTCTCTCCTCATTTTTTTCTTTAAATCAATTTGAATCGGGTTTCTGCCAATTAAATCTAAAAGTATCCTGGTTAATACAGAAACTTAGTGTATTTGTTACTGTGCTAGACTTAGTCACCTGCTAAAAGGATGAGAATCTCAAATTATATCCTAAGAATAAAATCAAATTTAGAATCAGAATGTATGCTTTACTAATGTATCCATAGTTTAGGTTCTATATTTTTCTCTATTATTTGGGTCACTTTAATAAAAATGTTTGTTCCGTTTCTAAGTTTTGGCCTAGGCTAAGTCAAGGTGGTCTTTTGGCCAATTGTGCTGAACTAACAAAGGTGGTGAGTAGAATCCTATCCCTATTTAACCTCTAAAGCAAAGGCAACTATCTTTCCATAAAGAAAAATCAATTTAAAGTGTTTTATACAATGTTCATCTTTGGTCATCAGTTCATCTAAGAATTTTTTCAATTTTTATTGAGTACTCACTATGAGCAGCATTGCATTAAATTCTAAATTACAGAAGGTTTTTGGGTGAGGGTAGGTTTGTGTTTATTTTAAAGCATAAATAAAATTTGTGTGGGCCGATTGTTTTCTAGATGCTGCGAAGACAGATCACTGCCTTCATGGACTCCGTGCTCTACTGAGGAGAAAGAGAGACAGTAACAAGATAATAAGCATAATAAGTAGTGGTTTAGGTAGTGATCATCATTAAATGGGAAAGTTAAGAAAAGGAAATTAAAGTCATGCGGGGTTGGAGAAGAGGTTGAAATTTTATTCTGAGTGGCCAAGGTAAACCTTGCTGAGGTGACTTTGGAAAAAAGACCAGAAAAGTGATCAAACTAGTGAGCCCTGTGGATAACTGGTCATGAGGGTGGGGGTGGGGGTTGGGGGAGGATGAGAAGGGGAATATTTTAGGTAGGCAACCGTAAGTGCAAAGGCCCTAAGATGGGAATGTGCCTAGTGTGTCTAAGGACCAGCCAAGAGTCCAGCACAGCTGATGTGGTGAGAAGAGAGAGAGAGAGAAGTTAGAGAAATAAAGAGTTGTGAAGAAGGTTCTATCAAGAGCAGAATCATCTATGGCCTTGTAGGTTAGAGAAGGAAGTTGATTTTTACTCTGAGTGAAAAGAGGAGCCATCTCTGGGTTTTGAATGGAAGACTGACACTATACAACATGGTTTAATAGCCCCTCGCTGGGGCTATTGAGAATAGACTGTAGAAGGGTGAGA
This sequence comes from Homo sapiens, assembly GCF_000001405.40. Lineage (NCBI taxonomy): Eukaryota > Metazoa > Chordata > Mammalia > Primates > Hominidae > Homo > Homo sapiens. Next base: position 93,846,108 of record NC_000004.12, read on the forward strand.
GTAGCAGGAGTTAATCCAGGTGAGAGGGGATGCTGGTTTGGGTCAGGTAAATAGTGTGAATGGTGAGAACTTGTTAAACTCTGGACATAATTTAAATGTATAGATAATACTAGGTTTGTGCAAATATAACTGCGTTATTTGCTGTGAAAGTAATGGCAAAAACCACAATTACATTTGCACCAACCTAATAGGATAGGCTGACACTGGAAATGAGATGCGAGAGACACAGAGGGGACTAGGATCACACTGAAGTTTTTGTTCTGAGCAACTGGAAGAATAGTGTTGCTAGTAAATGAGATGAGAAAGACAAAAAACAGGTGGGAGGGAAGCCCAGTTTTGGACAACATTTACCTATCTATGAATACAGTCCACTAATACAGTGAATTGCACATAGTGAGTAGGCAATAAATATTTGCCAGTAGTTATCAACATGGTTTGTTGATATGGTTTGGATTTGTGTCCCTGCCCAAATCTCATGTCGAATTGTAATCCCCAATGTTGGAGGTGGGACCTGGTGGGAGGTGACTGGATCATGGGGGTGAATTTCCCCCTTTGATGCTGTATTTGTGACAGAGTTCTCATGAGATTTGGTCATTTAAAAGTGTGTAGCACCTCCCTCCTCTTTATCTTCTTCCTGCTCCATCCATGTAAGAGGTGCCTGCTTGCCATTCGCCTTCTGCCGTGATTGTAAGTTTCCAAAACCTCCCAGCCATGCCTCTTATACAACCTGTGGAACCACGACCTTTTCTTTATAAATTACCTTGTCTCAGGTATTTATTTATAGTAGTGCGAGAACAGAATAATACATTTGTCTTTCTTGTTAGACTGAGAGCCCATTAAATTCAGGGATCCATCTTTTTCTTGTTTTATTTGCTGCCCCTAGCAAAGCATTTGAAATATAGTAACTGTTAAATTAATAAGTGCATACAGCTAAGTATAACTGAGAAAGGTTGGTACAGTAACCTTCCCATAGAACTGGCAATTTAGTCATCATTTCTAAATCCAGATGGTAATGGCAAGAACAGTTCTGTACAAGTGGTAAAGAATGATTCGATCTTTGAGTTTAGAGATGTGAGGGAGGCTATATTAGGTAAAAGGAAGAGGCCAAAGGAAGGTAGAGAAAAGGAAAGATGAATTGTATTCCCTCTACTCAGATTCCACTTCTTTTTGAAACTGGTAGAATAGACTTCTATGCATTTCTCTGCTAAATGTTAACCAGTGTGAGCAGAGACTCCTTGAAATTTAGTTCCTATATTTATACAAACTGATAGACTTGTGAGGATAAAATGAGATCATACACGTGAAATTTACTAATAAATGTATAAATCTACTTATAAACTTCAAAGAACTATCAGAGTACAATGTAAATCCCAAAATCTGTGCAGTAAGTTGTACATTAAGAGTACTTAAGAAAGGTTGCAGTGCTAGGGAAGATAGAGGAAGCACACTTCTGTCTCTCCCACTTAATGCAGGTATAAATGTTGATGCAACTATATGAAGATGCTGAAAAGTAAATTTTAGCAGGAAGATTGGAGAAAGAGCCCAGAATTTGAAGTTGCACCAAACCAGTGGTGAATATTCCATTGTTCCCTTCCAGTATCACTTGACATAGGCTCAAGGGAAGTTCTAAATCCAGAAGTACACATGAGTAAAGAGCAAAAAGCTTCAAGAAGATCCCTTTCTTTCTAAAGAAATTGCGGAAGAGGGGAATCCCATGGATCACAGAGAGCGGGGAAAATCCTTACTTTTTAATCATTATTTTTCCCTTCTCTCTTGCCTTAGCCCCCAGGCAATACTATTGTGGTGGTAGTGGCCAAGGAGGTACCTAAAAATCTGAAGAAGAATCCCTCTCTATGACTAAAGTAGTCCCAAGAGTATGAAGTTAATCCCCATTGTTTTTTTTCTTTCTCTGTCCTTCCGCAATTTTGGCAGTATATGCAGACCCAGTCACAAGAATATCATGGTAGACAAAGGGAATTTAACCCCTAGTTTTCTGTACAGAGGGCCAGGAAGTAAGGCCTGTGGGAGCCAGAGGTATTGGAGAGGTCATGGTGAAGGGGAAAATCAGAAGTCAAACTCATGAAAACATACATGCACTCCTGGGCTGACTTAAGAGCTGTGCATGCATGGAGGCAACACTCTTAAAATGAATGAGGAGTCTCATCAAAGAAATAGAAGACACAAAGAAAAACAATAAAAATTGCATAAAGTATCCAATAACATAAAAAATATTTACTAGATGGGATCAACAGCAGAATGGAGATGACAAAATGTAATAGGTAAACTTAAAAATAGGTAAATAAAAATAATCTTAAACAACAAAGACAAATTTAAAAAGATTATAAAGAAATGAGCAAAGACTTAGGGGCCTATGGAACAATTCCAAAAGGTCTAAGTCATCAGAGTCCCAGAAGGAGAAGAAAAAGAGCAAGAGGCATAAAAAATATTTAAAGAAATAGTGGCTGAAAACTTCCCAAATTTGGCAACAGTCATGTAGTTATACATTCTAGAAGCTTAGTAAAGTCCTAACAGTATACATGTAAAGAAACCAATGTCCAAATATATTATAATCAAACTATTGAACACCAAAGACAAAGACAAAGTTCTGAAGGCAACTAGAGAAAAATAATACATTACTTACAGGATGTTAATAATTTGAATGACTGGATTTGTTATCCGAAACCATAGAAGTAGAGTATGTTGGAATAACATTTTCAAAGTGCTGAAAGGAAAGAACTGTTATCCCAGAACTCTATATCCAGTAAAAATATCCTTTAGGAATGAAGGAAAAATAAAGAAATCCTAAGATAGAGGAAAAATAAGAATTTATCACCAAATACCTGCTCTAAAAAAAAAAAAAAAAGTCAAGGGCAATTTCCCATGCAAGAGGGACATGATATTAAAGGAAAACTTAGAACATTTGGAATAAAAGAAGAGTAGCAGAAATTGTAAAAGCTGGATAAACATATTAGATTATTCTTCTCCTCTAAGTTCTTTCAAATATGCATACCAATCAAAGCAAAAAAAATTTCAAAAAACATTGTCTTGATAGGATTTTCAAAAGCAAAAAAATTATTTCAAAAAACATTGTCTTGATAGGATTTTCAGAGTAAGTAGAACTAACCCATTTGACAACTGCAACATAAACAGGGAAGTTAAAAGAAAACCTATGGGAGTTTTCTACACTCCTTCAGTCGGTAAAATATTAATTCTAGGTGGACAGTGACAAGTTAAATATGTATTATTATAAACTACAAAGAAAAACTGTTTTTAAAAACTATATCAAGCAACATAGCCAAAAACTCAATAGATAAATTAGAATAATAGAAAATAGTTAAATAATCCAAATAAAGAGGTGAAGAGGAAACAGACACAAAATAGAGAATAAAAAGAAAACAAATAAACCATAGACCTAATTTCAAACATATTAATGAATTTATTAAATATACATAGTCCAAGAAAGCAAAGTAAATGACAGAGGTTGTCAGAATAACTTTTTTTAAAACTCAACTATATACTGTTTATAAGAAATCTCCTTCAAATATAATTTTATTAGGAGGTTAAATTTAAAAGATGAAAAGCAAAATACTATGCAAACATTAGTCAAAAGAAAGCTTGTGTGGTTAATGTCAGATACAGTAAACTATAAAAAAAGGAAAATCACTGGTGATTAAGAGAGAGATTGCATATTTAAAAAAAATTTACAAGAAAACATAAAACTATTCTAAATGTGCATACACCTGACGACAGAGCTTCAAAATATATAAAGCCAAAACTGATAGAATTGAAAAGAGAAATATCTAAGTCTACAAACATATTTAGAAAAGTCAACATTCCTTTTTCAATAATTGATAGAACAAGTACACAGAAAAATAGCAAAAATATAATTGAATAGCACTATTAACCAACTAGGTCTAGTTAACATTTATAGAACATCCAACCCAACAAAAGCAGATTACATACTCACCAGGATAGACTATATTCAGCATCAGCCTTATACCAAAACCAGACAAAAACAGTACCAGAGAATAATACTAAAGAATAATATCCCTCAGAATATAGACAGAAAAATAATCAACAAAATGCTGGCAAACCAAACTCATAAACATATAAAAAGAATATAAGACAAAGAATATATGACTATGACCAAGAAAAGTTTGTCTAGGAACTTAGGGCTACTTCAATATTTGAAAATCAATCAATGTAATCTACCGTATTAACAGACAAAAGAAGAAAAAACATGACTATCAATTGATGCAGAAAAAAGATTTGATAAAATTCCACGTCTTTTCATAATAAAAAATACATATTAAACTGAGAAAAGTGGGGAGCTTTCCTAAGCCGATAAAAGACATCTACATAAAACCTGCAGCCAACACCATGCTTCGTTATATAAGAATGAATGTTTTCCCACTGAGAATAAGGCAAGGCTATCCATTCTCATGACTCTTATACAATAGTGTACTGAAAGTCCTAGCCAGCACAAAAATGCACGACAATTTGGAAAATAAGAATTAATCTGTTTCTATTTATAGATGATATGCTTGAATATGTAGAAAATCTTATGAAATCAACAAAAACCTCTTAGAACTACTAAGTAAATTTAGCAAGGTTGCACATTACAAGTTCAATACACAAAATTCAATCATATTTCTATATACTAGCAATGAACGATCGGAAACTCCAATTAAAAAAAAGATTTATAATTGTTCCAAAAATGAAAATATTTAGAATATCTATTAGGTTCCTGCAAAAGTAACTGTGGGTTTTGCCATTGAAAGTAATAGCAAAACCTGCAATTACTTTTGCAGCAACCTAATGACTACAAAACACTGATTAAAGAACTCAAAGAAAGCCTAAATAAATAGAAACACACCCTGTTCATGGATTGGAAAACTCAGTATGTTGACATGACACTTTTCATTAAATTGTTCTACAAATTTAACACAATATTAATCAAACTCCAAGTGGGAATTTTTATAGATCTAGACAATGGACTCTAGAATTTATATGAAAAGGAATGGGAGCTTGGATACACAAAATGATTTTATAAAGAAGAATAAAATAGAAATACTTATATTTTCCAATTTTAAGAATAGCTATAAAGCCACATTAATCAACAAATTGTGGTTTTGGCAAAAGAATTGCCACATAGATCAATAAAACAGAATAGAGCATACAGAAACAGACCCACACAGGCCTGTTTCCTGACTGTGGTGGTTGTTATAGGAATTCATACATAGGTTAAAATTCATAGAAATGCATGCTCCCCCCGAATTTTTCAAGTCGATCTTGATATTTGTTAATTTAAAAGATACAGTAAAAACAGTATTTAAAATAAAATAATAATTATGACTCTAGAAAAATAAAATTGCTACTGGAGAAAGCAAATGAAGAAAGATGAAGGTCAACTTATTTTGGTGGTCCAGAATGCATATATTATGAATATTAAAGAGAAATTATAAATCACATACAATTAAATTTGGCATATTTAAGACTCAATGAGAGATGACAGAGATTGGAGTTGGGGTTAAAATTATGCCTTTTAACCTTGAGGTTGACCTTGGGTGGAACTGGGTAATTTTGAACATACAATTGAAGGTCCTATGTTTTAATAATAGTTTGCCCAGAACATCTGCCATTGTGACTTAACACACAAACACTAAGAAAATAGATTTTGCCAAGAATCCTCTGATTAAAAGCATGTAGAGAACAAAGGGGCAGTTCAAAAGAAAGACATTCAGGTAATAGAAAACGAGAAAGGTGAAAAGTCACTTTGTATATTGTAATCCTTTATATCAAAGGTTTTGAAGTGTGTGTATGTGTGTGCGCACACGCACGTGTGTGTATGTGTGTATGTATGTACTCACTTTTTTTCCTTATCAGACCATGTTTCTTCAGTACCAGAGCCAAGGTAGAAGAGACTTAGAAGTGCTAATCTTGTTAAGGGTGTGAAGTGGGGGTGGAGTGCTCCTAATAGCGTATGTGACAAGAAGGTAATTTAAAATATTAGGCACGGTGCTTTTACTTAGATTGTGTGCTGTTTTGGGTTAGATGTGGTGAACAATAAAGATCACAGTGGATCTAACCATTCCCCAGCCATCTATTAACACTGTCAATGACAAGAGATATATTGTTCATGTTTGTGCTCCCTGCAACACTTAGCATACTGACTAGCACTGGCACATAGTAAATGCTTAATAAACAATTGTTCTAATGAAATTGAGTAGGGCATTTCTTCCAATTCTAAGTCATCTCTTAAATTCTTCGAGATCAGTCCACATAAGATAGGATGCAAAAGATGTTAAGAGGCCACTTGAAGAATAATTATATCTCTTGTGCTAAATTCTTAGAATAATTCTGATTCTCAATTAAACAAAGTTATTGTTTAAGGTGAGTACAGAAAGCTGAATAAGTTGGAATAAATTCCAACTGTAAAAGAAGCACAATATCTTAAGAAATTAAAATGTGTGGGTTGATAGTTACTGCTCAGACTCTTCATGGAGAACAGCTCATTATATTAGTAAACACTTTTTATTTTGAAATTGAATGTAATTGTTTCACTAGAATTTATGCAAAAGTTAATCGATTATGGTACCAACAAGTTAAAGATTTTGAAACATGAACATAATTTTTGATCAAGGTATCTAATAAAGTATTTGAGTGAACAAAACAATGACCTTTGGATCTGTCATTGCTTTGCCTGGGTGATTAATTTCAATTTTTTTGCTTTACACACCCTGTCATAAACTTTTTTATTTACACTTTATTGTAACTGACTTCATGACATTTGCTCTTGCTTAATAATAATCGGTTAACAGCAAGGGCAGGTGTTCTCAAGGATGTGGCCCTTCCATGCAGTGAAATCTAAACAGTTTTAAAAATCATCATAAAAAGTATAAACATAAAACTGCCTCATTCTAGTGTCTGAAAGGGAAAAAGATGTCTATGCAAAGAACGAGTCAAGAATGGAGAACTTGAAAGGTAAAATTGGTAATAACATGCCCATTCTAAATTTATTTGTTGCTCTTCCTTTTAATACTTGTCTTTCATATATCATAACCAGTGATGACCTCTGCTAACATCCTAGTTGTTTGTTTGTTTGTTTGTTTGTTTCGTTGTCGTTGTTGAGATGGAGTCTCACCCTGTCACCCAGGTTTGAGTGCAATGGCATGATCTTGGCTCATTGCAACCTTCGCCTCCCAGGTTTAAGCAATTCTCCTGCCTCAACCTCCTGAGTAGCTGGAATTACAGGCCCATGTCACCACGCCGGCTAATTTTTTGTATCTTTAGTAGAGATGGGGTTTCTCCAGTGTAGGCCAGGCTGGTCTCAAACTCCTGACCTTGTGATCCACCTGCCACAACCTAGTTTTTACATGGATTTCATTCTTTTTGTGGTATGTAAAAATTATACATAAACTTCTGGTTGAATTTCTGTAGAGCTTAAGTCTGACTGCTGATTTTCTGAGATCATAACAATAATCCACTTCCTTATGGCCATATTTTCTTTTATGAAATGCTTTTTTCGCTAATAAACACAATGTGTCCTGCTCCCATTCTCAATTTAGAAATAGATTCTCCCTTTCTTTCATTAGCTCACCTTCGACCACTTAAGTTCCAAGTTCCCTCCAGAATGGAAGCCTTCTACATTCATTCTTCCAGAATTTCCTTCTCCAGTCCCCTGGTCACGTCAGCTTCTGCAAAATGGTCTAAAGATCTCCTTGAAAGCTGCCCCCATTCTTCTCTAGGTCTTTTCTCCAGAAAAATTGAGATCATCAAATATAATCTTTAAACAAGGATGAATCGAGGCAGGTTTAAAAATTAATGTACAATCCGAAAAAGTTTATGTAGCCATTAGAGTATTGACTTGGATTAATTTATTAGTTATTTAGTGTCCTGCAGGGACTACTTTCAGGACCCTCTTGAACCAAAAGGATAGGCTCAAATTAATCTTGTTCTTGGAGAAACAGTGGGAGTCAGAATGAAAAAGAGAAACATCATAATGGGTGGAGAGAAAAGTGAAGACAGATAGGGAAAGAGAGAGAAGAAGAGAGAAAGAGACTGATTTAGTGGTAATCAGAATAATATTGGTGGTTGGAGGAAAAGGCACCAGTAAAGAAGTAGCAGAAAGAATTATCAAAAGGAAGATAGATCCTGCTGGACACAAAATAGAAGCGAGATAACCCTCCTTAAGAATGTTTTGCTTGGAGAAGGTTTCTATCCTAAATCCCAACCCTAATAAACTGATGAGCATTCACGTCTTCATTTTTAAAAGAAACTTTGGTTTGGACCATTGGTTTTAGACCATTTCTCTATTTAAATTCAAATACCTGAGGAGGTTACTGTTATTTCAAAATATCTTATTGGTTCTTAATTCCAATTTGTGAATTAATTCATTACAGAAAGTTGACATATAATCACTGAATCAACTAAGATGCTTTTGTATGCAAGAAACAGAAATCCTCCCTCCCCCTCACAAACTGAATTATATAGTAAAGGGATTGGCTCAAGTAACAGAGAAGCTCTTGGATCAGTGAGGGTTTAGGCACGGTTTGATCCACATTTTCACAATGTTATCAGGGCTCTTCATCTATTTCTCTACAATCTTAGCTCTGTCTGCCTCCATGGGTTGAATTTGTTCTCAAAGTGGCCTCCCTAATGCTAGCTTTCAGTAGTCCATAGCCCTATATGTTTCCTCCTTCACAGCCAGAGGAAGAAAGTATGTATTTTTCCCACTAGTGAAACAGAAGTCCTGAGCTCCACCCTGATTAAACTAAATTAGGTAACGCATCTATCCTTGAAGCAATCATTGTGTCTAGAGACATGGCATTTTCTTGGTCGACTTAAATCACAGAGCCCATCTCTGCAATCATGGAAAGAGGTTGAATGTAGGGGAGGTAACTAGAGGGTTCGCTATTTTACCACAGGACGCTTCCATTTCCAACAGGAAAGTCATGTCATAGACACAAACTGCCACATTCTCAGAGTAATGACCAGGGTGATTGTATTTAGTCATGGAAAAGCTGTGTCATCTTCATCTATTTCTACAGAAAAGTTTAACCTGCCAGTCCAGTCCAGACCCTTATGGTAGGTTCTGGTGAACCTCTGTACTGCAGTGGAAAAATCACCACCACCCCTAAACCTCTCTCCAGAATAGGTCACTTTGGTTCTAGATATAATTCTGCCGGAATTTTTGTCTTTCCTCTGCTCTCAAATGACATCATTCTTGCATTTTTTTAAAGCTAACAATAAAGTGAGTTAAAAACAACTAGGTTGTTTTCAGTTATTTCTAATGAATTTTGTCCTTATAACCAAAATCTTGAAGACTTAATCAACTTACATACTTGGGAGATTAAAAGCGTTTTGGTTTTCTTTTTTTTTAACTAAGAAGGACAAGCTGAATCTGGTTTTAGCCCTTGACCGCACATTAGAGTCACCTGGGTGCCTTGACCCTTCCTAGTATGATTCAAGTTTAATTAGTCCCAAGTGAGACCCGGGCACCCATATTTTTTAAAAATCTCCATTGACATACAATTCATGTAAAATTCACACACATAAATATGTAAAATTCAATGACATTTAGTATATTCACAGAGTTATTGTACCCACATTTTTAATGCTCCCTGAGAATTCTAACAGGCAGATAGGTAGGGTTGAGAACAACTGAATTAAAGCAAATTGTTAGACTTTGAGTCAATCTAATAATCAGCAGAACTATACGTTTAAAATTATCATTAAAAATTCTAAAATTATGTGAATTTTAAAAAACTAATAGGCTACGTTTAGAGAAGTTTTATGTTCACATTAAAATTGAGTGGCATGTACAGAGGTAAATTATATATTTTACCTATTAAATTCTCTAATTTAATTTAACTGGTACTCCAAGTCTGTGAGAAAACAGAAAAGTCTTTAATAATCTTAGAAAAACATCACAAAATGGGTACTCTTCCTGTAAAGAGTTACTTTGTATGCATTTGAAATAGAAAGTAAAACCAGAATAAGGTTTTCTCTCTTTCTGTCTCTCTTTAAAAAAATCGATTTAGCAACTTATTGATCAACACCTCTGGCTCTCCTTTATTGGAGAAATAAAGCATTCAAACAACATTTCAGTGATAAGTAACTGAAAATATCCAATATTAATCTAATCCCTATGCATTCTTTTCTACCTTTGATATAAAAGATTGAGAAGCATTGCAGATACATATTTCACAGTGGTATTGTCATTTGCTTTGAAAGAAATATTGATCATTCTCAAGTAAATTTGGTTTACAGAAAACATTTATAATCAGAAAAGTTTGATATGAAATATTTAGTATAAAAAGTTACTTAAACTGCAATAAAGGAAAAAGGTGATTACACTGGTAGTTTCTGAATCATATTAAAGTAAATGGAAATTTGTCTAACAATTTAGTGAATTTAGACTGCGTTGCCAACTAATAAGATCCACCTAACCAAATACTATTCTTAGTGTTGGTATGGAAAAGTAATAGAAGGAAAACAACATAGAAGGTAGTGGTTAGGAGAGAGAATTCTGGAGTCAGAAAAACCTTATCAGGAGGAGAGATGTCAGCAAGATGGCTGCCTGGAGATGCCTGAAGCTTACCTCCCCACCTGAGACAGGAGCAAGGCAATGGATAAACAGCTAAGATTTGACTGGAGTGCCAAAGGGCACTGGAGTGAAGTGGGGGAGTGGAGACACGATAGTGCTGATTGGAAGTCCAGGAGGACAGCATGGAGGCACCCTGCCTCTGCAGCCCCATCTTCCTCACGCAGATTGGATGTGCCTGGAGCCAAGAGGGACTTCCCATTGGGAGGAGAAGGTAGGTGGAAGAGTCCCACCGGCACCCATTCCCACAGCAAACACCTACAGTCCTTACTACAGTAGAATCCCATAGCCTTTGCAAGCCCTGAGTTCATTTTGGAGAGCAGCTGGGAATGCATACAGCTGCATTGCCCTGGATTAAAAGCACAAGTGTGCACTGCCCACTACCTGTAAGCCCAGCTTCTGCAGCACAGTGCCATCTTGAGATCAGAGACACCTCTAGAGTGTGCCCTGCTCTGGGGGCCAGTAGCCACTACACCTCTCCAGACCCAGGGCTCCATCTTCATTGTGCCAAGCAGAACCGCTGTATTACTCCCCCAACCCCCCATGAGCCTCCGAGCAGCTAATAGACTCCTGGGCTAGTGGAGTGACTACATGCCCATGCTGAGGACCTGAGAAACAGCCCTGCTGCACTGCCACCCCCACAGACATGCCTCTGGTGTCCTCAATAGCCTTTCATCCCCAATAAGGGCCTGAGAAACAATCCCACAAGCCACCCGTCATGAGCACTCGTCCCATGGCCAGCAGAGAAGCCAAGAGCTCATATTCTGGGCCTAAGAAACAGCTCCATGGCCTGCCTCTGGTAGGCACACCCCCAGGCTGGCCAAGTAGCCATGTGCCTATGTTCCAGACTTGAGAAATAGCCCTGTAGGCCACCTCAGCAGACATACTCCCCCCAGGTCAGCCAAGTAACCTTTTGCCCATTCCCCAAGTCTGAGAAATAGACCTCTGGGTCTTCCCCTGCAACATACCCCTAGGCCAACTTAGCAGCCATGCAGCTTTGTCCCAGGCTGGAGAAACAGCCCCACTGGAGACCCTTCGCTAGCATACTCCCAGCTCAGCCAAGCATCCTTGCGCCCATGTCCTAAGTCAGAGAAACAGCCCTGTGGGCCACTCCTGGTAGACATATCCCCAGGCTGGCTGAGCAGCTGCATGCCCATGTCCTGGGCCTGAGAAACAGCCCCACAGCCTGCTTCTGGCAGACGTGCCCCAGGCTGGCTGAGCAAATGTGTGCCCATGCTCCTGGTCAGAGTAACAGCCCCATGGTCCCAACCCCAATGAGACAGACCCCAAATTGGCCAACCCATGTGCACACAGGTGCCCCCAACTTGAGAAACAGCCTGGTGAACCCACACCCAGCAACGCTATACCACCTCTGCCACAAATTCTCTCAGATAAGCCACTGAGAAACTTGCAAACACTGCTAGTGTGTATTACAACTGAGGAAACTATATGACGACTCCACTGTTGTCTCCACCTAGAACCAAGGCCAATATACCAGACCAAACTGATATCCTAAGACACATTAATATAAATGAGCCTTTTCTACAAAACCTACTCCATAAAATTGGAAGAGATGACTTTTCCACCTGATGTGAAGAAACCAATATAGGGACACATCAAACAAGAAAAAGCAAGGAAACATGTCTCTTTGAAAGGAAATATTAGTTCTCCAGTAACAGACCCTAATCATAAAGAAACATATGAAATTGAATTGAAAAAGAATTGAAAATAATAATCTTAAGCATACTCAGTGAGATACAAGAGAATACAGGTAGAAAATTCAATGAAATCAGGAAAATGTTTCATGGTTTCAATAAGAAGTTTAATAAAGAGATAGATATCATAAAATGAACCAAATAGAAATACTATAGCTGAAGTATTCAATGAATGAAATAAAGAATACAACTGAGAGATTAAACAATAGACTAGGTAAATCGGAGGAAAGAATTTCTGAGCTTGAAGACAGGTATTTCAAAATAACACAGGCAGACAAAAATTTAAAAGAAAAAAGAATGAAGGAAGCCTACAGGATTCATGGGACACCACTGGGTGAACAAATATTTGTATAATGAATGCTCCAGAAGGAGAAGAGAAGGGAAAGGATGAAGAAAAACACATTTAATGAAATTATAGCAGAAAATTTCTCAGGCTTTGGGAAAGAGATGGATGCCCAGGTCCAGAAAGCCCAAAGAATCCCAAATGGATTCAACCCAAACAGGTCCTCTCTGAGGCGTACAATAGTCAAATTATCAAAAATCAAAGACAAAAGAAAGAATTTTAAAAGGAGGTGGGGAAAAGAGTCAAGTCTTATATTAGGGAATCCTTATTAGATTAACAGTGCATTTCTCAGAGAAAACCTTACAGGCCAGGAGAGAATGGTATAGTATATTCTAAGTACTGAAGGAAAAAGATCTGTCATTAAGAATATTAAACCAGGCAAAGCTATGCTTTAGAAATGATAGATAAGTAACATTTTCCACACACAAGCAAAAGCTAAGGGAATGCATCACTACTAGACCAGCCTTACAAGAAATGCTCAAAGGAGTCTTATATTTGAAAGTGAAAAGACAATAACCACTATAATGAAAACATTCAAAACTATAAAATTGATAGAGCTGATACACAAAGGAAAAAAAAGGAATCAAAGCTTATCACTATGGAAAACCACCAACCCTAAAAATAAACACTAGGAGGAGAAGTAAGGAACAAAGGATATACAAACAACAACAACAACAAAAAAAAAAAACAGAAAGCAATCAATAAAATGACTGGGTGCAGTGGCTCCTGTTTATAATCCCAGCACTTTGGGAGGCTGAGGTGGGCGGATCACCTGAGGTCAGGAGTCCAAGACCAGCCTGGCCAGGATGGCAAAACCCTGTCTCTACTAAAATTACAAAAATTAACCGAGCATTGTGGTGGGCACCTGTAAACCCAGCTACTCGGGAGGCTGAGGCAGGAGAATTGCTTGAACCTGGGAGGCAGCAGTTGCAGTGAGCCAAGATCGCGCCACTGCACTCCAGCCTGGGTGACAGAGCAAGACTCTGTCTTAAAAACAAACAAACAAAAATCAATAAAATGACAAGAATAAGTCTTCACTTATCAATAATAACCTTGAGTGTTAATGAATTAAATTCCCTATTTAAAAGATATAGACTGGAAAAATGGATTTTTTTTAAAGACCCAACTATATATACTGCCTATAGGAAACTCATCTCATCTCTACAGACACATAGACTGAAAGTAAAGACATGGAAAAGATATTTCATGCAAATGGAAAAAAAATTTAGCAGGAGTAGCTATAATTATATTAGACAAGAAAGACTTCAAATCAAAAGCTCCAAAAAGAGACAAAGAATGATATACTATAATAAAAAAGTGATTGATTCAGCAAGAATATAATAATTGTAAATACATGTGCACTCAACACTGGAGCATCCAGATATATATATATATATAGCAAATATCATTAGCTCTAAGGGGAGAAATAGACTCCAACACAATAATAGCTGGGGACTTCAACACCCCTCTCTCAACATTGGACAGATGATCTAGACTGAAAATCCACATAAAAATATTGAATTTAAGCAGTACCATAGACTAAGTAGATATTTACAAACATTTTAGCCAATAGCTGCAGAATACACATATGTTTCACCAGCATACGGAACATTCTCCAGGACTGACTATATGTCAAGAAAGAAAAAAAGTCTCAAAAAAGTTTTAAAAATAGAAATCTTATGAAGTATCTCACCTGACCACAATGGAATAAAACTACACAGTAATAACAAGAAGAACCTTCACAATTATACAAATACATAGAAATTAAACAGCATGCTCCTGAACAACCAATGAGTGAAGGAAGAAATTATGAATAAAATTTAAAACTTTTTTGAAACAAATGAAAATATTAATAGAAACACAACATATCAAAACCTATGGAACACAAAAAAAGCAGCATTAAGATGCAAATTTATAGCAATAAATGCCTACATTAGAAAACTAGAAAGATTTCAAAGAAACAACCTAGTGATGCACTCAAGGAACTAGAAAAGCAAGAATAAACCAAACCCCAAATTAGGAAAAGGAAACAATAGTAAAGATCAGAGCAGAAATAAAATAAATTGAGACCAAAAAATACAAAAGATCAACAAAACAAAAAGTTGGTGTTTTGTAAAGATAAAACAGACAAACCATTAGCTAGACTGAGAAAAAAGAAAGAAGATCCAAGCAAATAAAATGAGAAACAAAAAAAGGAGACAGTACAAGACATACTACAGAAATACAAATGATAATGATAGACTACTATGAACACCTATACACTAATAAATTTTAAAACCTGGAGAAAATGGATAAATTCCTGGACACATAGAACCTACCAAGACTGAACTAAGAAGGAATAGAAAACTGGAACAGATCAATAACAAATAACAAGATTGAATCAGTATAAAAATTCCCCCAACAACCAGAAGCCCAGGATTAGATGGCTTCACTGCTGAATTCTACTAAACCTTTAAGAAGAATTAATACCAATTCTTCTCAAAAGTATTCCACACAATTAAAGGGGAGAGAATTTTTCTGAACTTATTCTATGAGGCCAGCGTAACTCTGATACTAAAAGCAGAGAAGGACACAACAACAACAAAAAAACGACCAGCCAATATCCCTAATGAACATACAGATAAAAATTCTCAGCAAAATACTAACAAACTAAATTCAACGGTACTTCAAGAAGATAATACATCATGATCAAGTGGGATTTATACTAGGAATGCAAGAATTCATGTAAATCAATAAAAGTGATATATCGCAACAATAGAAAGTAAGACAGAAACCATATACTTATCTCAATAGACTTGGAAAAAGCATTTGATAAATTTAGCATCCCTTCATGATAAAAACCTTCAGCAAACTCTACATAGAAGGAACAAACCTCAGCAAAATAAAGGTCATATGTGACAGACTCACAGCCAATGTTATACTGGGTGGGGAAAAATTGAAAGCTTTTCCTCTAAGAACTGAAACAAGACAAGCTTGCCCACTCTTACTTAACATAGTACTGAAAGTCCTAGCCAGGGCACTTAGGCAAGAAAAAGAAAAGGCATTCGAATTGGAAAGAAAGAAGTCAAATTGCCCCTGTTTGCAGATGACATGATTTTATATACAGAAAAACCTGAAGGCTGTACCAAAACTTTTGGAGCTGATGAATGAATTCAGTACAGTTGCAAGATATAAAATTAATATATAAAAATTAGTAGTGTCTATACACAAATAACAAACTAATTGAAAAAAAACTCAAGAAGGCAATCACATTTACAATAGCTACAAAAAAATACTCAGGAATAAATTTAACCAAGGAGATGAAAAACCTCTGCAGAAAAACCTCTGCAAATAACCTACAAAACACTGATGAAAGAAATTAAAGAGAATACAAAAAAATTGAAAGATGTTCATGCTTATGGGTTGAAAGAATTAATATTGTTAACATTGCAATACTACTCAAAGCAATCTACAGATTCAATGCTATCCTTATCAAAACACCAATGACATTCTTCACAGAAATAGAAGAAAAACTCTAAAATTTGTGTGTAAGCACAAAAGACCTCAAATAGCCAAAGTAATTCTGAGCAAAAAGAATAAAACTGGAGACATCACAGTACCAAACCTCAAAATATACTATAAAGTTGTAGTAACCAAAACAGTGTGGTACTGGCATAAAAGCAGACACATAGACCAATGGAAGAGAATAGAGAACCCAGAAATTAATCCACCTATCTACAGCCAACCTATTTTGACAAAGGTGTCAAGAACACTTGCCAGGGAAAGGGCAGTCTCTTCAATAAACGGTTCTGCAAAAACTGGATATCCATATGCAGAAGAATGAAACTAGACCCCCCCACCTCTCACTTTATTAAAAAGATCAACTTACACACAAAAAATAAAAATAAAAATAAAAGAAAAAAGAAAAAAATCAACTCAAAATGGATCAAAAACCTAAATGTAACACCACAAAGTATAAAATGACTAGAAGAAAATGGGAAATGCTCTAGGACGTTAGTCTGGAAAAAGTCTTTATTAATAAGACCTCAAAAGCACAAGAAATAAAAGCAAAAATAAATATGTGGGATTATATCAAGATAAAAAGCTTTTTCACAGCAAAGTAAACAATCAACAGAGTGAAAAGACAACCTACAGAATGGGAGAAAATATTTGCAAACTACTCACCCAACAGGGAATTAATATTCAGAATATATAAGGAACTCAAACATGTCAACAGCAAAAAAAAAAAAAAAAAAAACTATTTGACTTCAACATGGGCAAATGATCTGAACAGATACTCCTCAAAAGAAGACATACAAATGGCCAAAAATATATGAAAAAATACTCAACATCACTAATTATCAGAAAAATGCAAATCAAAACCACAATAAAGTACCATTTCATCCCAATTAGATGGCTATTATCAAAAAGGCAAAAAATAACAAATGCTGGTAAGAATGTGGAAAAAAGGGAGCTCTTATACACTGTTTGCGGCAATGTAAATTAATACAACTACTATGAAGAACAATTTGGAGGTTCCTCAAAAAAACTACAAACAGTACTTACAGTCAACTGGTTTTCAACAAAGCATACAAAAACATAAATTGGGAAAGGACACCCTATTTAATAAATGATGCTGGGAAAACTGGCAAGCCACATGCAGAAGAATGAAACGGAATCCCCACCTCTCACCTTATACAAAAATTAACGCAATATCGATCAAAGACTTAAATCTAAGATGTGAAACTATAAGAATTCTGGAAGATATCATTGGAAAAACTTCTGGACGGTGGCTTAGGCAAAGAATGCATGACTAACACCCTACAAGCAAATGCAACAGAAACAAAAATGAATAAATGGGAACTAACTAAACTAAAAAGCTTCTGCACAGCAAAAGAAATAATCAACAGAGTAAACAGATAATCCGCAGAGTGGGAGAAAATATTCACAAACTATGCATCTGACAAAAAACTAATATCCAGAATCTACAAGGAACTCAAACAAATCAGCAAGAAAAAAACAAACAATCTCATCAAAAAGTGGGAAAAGGACATGAATAGACATTTCTCAAAAGAAGATATGCTTCCAGCAAACATATGAAAAAATGCTCAACCTCACTAATTATCAGGGAAATGCAAATTAAAACCACAATGAGATACCACCTTAGTCCTGCAAGAATGGCCAGATGTTGGCATGGATGTGGTGAAAAGGGAACATTTTACACTGCTGATGGGAATGTAAATCAGTACAAGCACTATGTAAAATAGTGTAGAGATTCCTGAAAGAACTAAAAGTAGTTCTACCACTTGATCCAGCAATCACACTACTGGGTGTCTACCCAAAGGAAAAGAAGTCATTATATGAAAAAGACACATGCACATGCATATTTATAGCAGCACAATTCACAATTGCAAAGATATGGAATCAACCTCAGTGCCCACCAACAAAGAAGTGGATAAGGAAAATGTGGTATATATGCACCATGGAATACTACTCAGCCATAAAAAGGAATGAAATAATGTCTTTTGCAGCAACTTGGATGGAGCTGGAGGCCATTATTGTAAGTGAAGTAACTCAGGAATGGAAAACCAAATACTGAATATTCTCACTTTTAAGTGGGGAGTGTGCTATGATGATGCAAAAACATACAGAGTGATACAATGGACTTCAGGGACTTAGAGGGATAGATTGAGGCAGGAGGGATAAAAGAGTACATACTGGGTACAGTGTACACTGCTTAGGTGATGGGTGCACTGCAATCTTAGAATTCACCACTAAAGAACTCATCTCTGTAAAACCACCTATACTCCACAATCTGTTGGAAAAAAAAAAAAACTACAAGTAGAACTACCATATGATCCAGCAACCCCACTACTGGGAATTTATCCAAAGGAGAAGAAATCATTATATCAAAAAGACATCTGCACTCTCATGTTTATTGCAGTATTATTTACAATATCCAAAATATGGAAATCAACCTAGGTATCCAATAACAGATGAAAAGATAAAGAAAATGTGGTATATATACACAATTGAATACTATTCATCCATAAAAAAGAATGAAATCCTGTCATTTGTGGCCACAGGGATGCAACAGGAGGACATTATGTTGAGTGAAATAAGCCAGAAATAGACGGTTAAACACCAAATATTCTCCCTCATATAAGGAAGCTAAAAAATGTTGATCTTCTAGAAGTAAAAAATAAAATACAGAATACACGAGGCTGGGAAGTGTAGGGGAAAAAGAGGGATAAGAAAAGATCTGTTAAAGGACACAAAGTTACAGTTAGATACGAGGAATAAATTCTAGTTTTCTATACTACTGTAGGGTGACTATAGTTAGCAAAAATATATAGTTTCTAATAGCCAGAAGGAGAATATTGAATGTTCCCAATACAAAGGAATGATAAATGTTTGAGATAATACATATGCTAATTACCCTGATCTGATCACTATGCATTACATGTATCAAAACATCACTATGTATCCCACAAAATATGTACAATTATTTGTTAATTAATTAATTAATTAATTTTTTTTGAGACGGAGTCTTGCTCTGTTCCCCAGGCTGGGGTGCAGTGGCGCAATCTCTGCTCACTGCAACCTCCGCCTCCCGGGTTCACGCCATTCTCCTGCCTCAGCCTCCTGAGCAGCTGGGACTACAGGCTCCTGCCACCACACCCAGCTAATTTTTTGTATTTTTAGTAGAGATGGGGTTTCACCGTGTTAGCCAGGATGGTCTTGATCTCCTGACCTCGTGATCTGCCCGCCTCGGCCTCCCAAAGTGCTGGGATTACAGGCGTGAGCCACCGTGCCCAGCCAATTATTTGTTAATTTAAAAAACCTTATTGAGTCTCCTCCACAAATTGTCACTGTAACTTTAGGGAAGATATATTATAGCTAATCTTAATTTCCCCATCAAAATAATTGAGAGAATTAATAGTATCTTCTTCCTAAGGAAGTTGTAAGGATTAAATGGGGCATAATATATTTATATGTCAAGCAGTTAGCTCAGGGCATAATGCCTAATAAATATTCAATTAACATAAACTAAGATGATGGTAATAATGATATGATGTAACGGTGCAGCATTGTTGAATGCCCACTAGAGGTGCACATTCAAGAGGCTGATGGATGGATAATAGAATCCCCAAATATGTTTTGGGGATCTGAAGGTAGAGACGCTCTATTCTTGCTTCTGAGGTAGGTTAAAAAAATTGAGCAAAAGAGAGTGCAGGGAACAATCAGCAGTTCAGTTTAACTTGGAGGATAAAAATAATAGATGAGTCTGGACAGATAAGCAGTGCTGCTAGGAATGCATTTCAGATTTGTTGATGGGCAGGGGGAAGAAAAAGGAGTCAAGAAAAGTAAGGTAGATCGTGGGTGGAGAGTGGTGCTGTGAAAAATTAGATAACATTCAGGAAATATTCACCCCCTCCACACATCCCTCCTCCCCCAGGCAATGTTGGCCTTAGCCCATGGCTTGTCTTGGCCAATGGCATGTGGGCAAAACGACAGGGTGTGCTCATTTGAGTTAGGATTTCAGAGACCTCACGTGTATCCACTCATGCCTCTGGAAGCTTCTTACCTCCGTCAAAAGAAGAACATGCCTGAGGTAGCCACTGCCCCCTTCAATGTGGGTCTCAGAATTAAACTCATGAAACAGACCTGAAAGTAACCCACAACCTTGAAGGAGAAACTGCCTACTAAATCACAGACCCATTAAGTGAGAAATAAATGCATATTGTCATATGCCACTGAGACTTTGTGGTTATTTTTCACCCAGAAAAACTAAAACAGGTATCATACACTAAGGGAATACAGAAAGACAAATACATTTGGTGTGTGGTTTTTTTTGGAGGGGGGTTGGTTATAATGGGATCGAATGAGAATGAGCTCAATTCTGAGCATGCTGAATGTTGAGGTGCGCATGGACCTCAAATGGCATGAATGAAGGCCAAACCATCTGAATGTACTTGACAATTAAAACTGCCAGAGGGAATGGAGTGTTAGGGGAGAGGGGCATATATGTTCATGATAGTTATATATTTTTGTTACATTGTCTCTTTATCAGTTTACTCTTCTCTTTTTGTTCCTCTTTGCCCCTTGTTTTAACACACACACACACACACACACACTTACACTTTGCTTTTTTGTCTGCAGTGCCGTGTAAATGGTGCTTTCCTTCCATTTCTCTGTGGCCCACCTACTCCTTTTCTCCCTGAGAATTCCCCCTGGTTAATCACACACAGAAACAAGCTGGGAGCCTGTGCCCCATTTTACAAATAGAACTACACACTTCAGGGGAAAGTGTGGGCTTCTCAGTCATGCGGCTTTTCAGGCCTACCAGCTGAAGGGCTGGGGTTCCTCGATTGGAATACAAGAGTCAGCCCTCCTGGATCCCTGTGCACTGCCCCAAAGTGTGATGGGAATCTGCCACTGCATCTCCTTCTAGATTCCCCTCCAGTAAATGCTTTTCAAGGCTGATGTGTGATTAAGTCATCCCACTCTTACTTGCTTGATACCCACTTTCCTGCTTTGCCTCCTACCTTACTGCCAACTATATTTTAATCTTCTTTGCTAGATTTTAATTATTCACCTGATTTCTGAACACTAGAGTGTCCCAGGGTTCAATCTTCTCAATCTTTGGACTGCTCTGTCTATGTTTGCTCGCTTGACGAACTCCTTTAATCACATGGCTTTAAACACTATCCATAATCTGATACCTCCAGTCTGGACCTGCTTCCTAAACTCAAGCCTCATCCACAAACTATCTATTTTGACATCTCCACTTGGATGGCCAATAAACATCTCAAAGTTATGTACAAAACTTACTTCCTGATTGTCCTTGCCTAAACAAAACTGACTTCCTGATTGTCTGTCTTTGCCTAAACACGCACACAGTCTTCCCTATTTCAGGCAACCTTTTCAGTTGTTCAGATTAAAAATCTCGCAGTCATCGATGACTCCTCTTTTTCTTTTACAGGCAATCCATCAAACAAATCCTGTTTGCTCACCTTTCAAAATATGTCTGGAATACAACCCCTGCTACTCGACTGGTTCCACCCTGTTGTATGCCACCATCACTTCTTGCCTGAAATATAGTAATAACCTCTCCCCGGCTTTTCCCAGGCTTCCCATATCCTATTCTCAACACAGTAGCAGAGTGTTTCTTCTTGAAAAATGTCAGATTATACCACCCCACTGCTTAAAAACATGTAATAAGTTGTGGCTTTTTTTTTTTTTAACTCAGAGTAAAGCTAAAGTTACTATAATGGATCACACACTGACTTCTTGTTATTCTTATGATCCCATCTCCCCTCAATTCCTGCCACACTAATTCCTTGCCCTTCTTTGGACATCCTGAACGTACTCCTCCTTAGGCAATTACATTTGATTTTCTTTTCTCTGGATTCTCTTTTCTTTAATAACTGCATGCCTTGTTATTTCACCTTTTTGAGTTTTTTGCACAAATGTCACCTGTTCAGTGTCTGAGTCAAATTTTTACTCTCCACCCCTGCCCTGAAGCACTTCCTACCTTGATGGCTTGTCTTAGTTTTCTTCAAAGCATTTATTATCTTTTAATATACTAAATAATTTACTTAGTTTTCTCTCTATCCCACAACCATCTCATCTAAAATATAAACTTCACAAGGGGAGGAATTTTATAGTTTCGTTCACTAATGTATCCATATTGCCTAGACATGGTTCTCAGTATGCACTAAAAAAATTGTCAAATAAATGAATGAATGGTTTCTCTGTAGCTCCAGCTTATATTAAACTTGAGAATTTAGGGACTTCTATTTTACTAGATAGAAAAAGGGACATCCTTACTCGCCACTCCAAATTGTGCTCTCCTTTTCTCTCCCAGGACATCTTCTGCTTTTTCTCTCCCTGCTCACTTTCCTCATCCTCCACCCTCGAGTGGCTGTAATCATCAGAAGAGGAATGCACTGTTGATTTAACAAGCTAGCAGGGAACTTCTGAATATGTGGAAAGGACATCTGAGCACTAAGAATGAGAATGATAGAGCCTTGGAGTGCATGTGACAGAAAAGAGAAAATTATTAGTGTTGAGAATGGTAAATTGCATATCTGAAAAAATGTCTCAAATATAGAATAAAAATTCATACCAAGTATTTTTTCTAGAAAAGAATATGGTTTCAGATATAACATTTTTCTTGTCAATTATAAACCTTGCCTATAAAAACTCACCTGTTTCAGGTAGTTGCTTAAATTCTTCTACTCTAAAGAATAGTGGGGAATAAAAAGACATGGAAATGAATCGGCAAAAGTCATTTTAATAACAATGAGAAAAATGAAAAAGAAAAAGAATTTCATAGATTTAACATATTTCTGAAGGTCTGATCATTTGAGACAAATCATATTCAGGGTGAGATGACAGCCATTCTTCTTGGATTCTGAAGGTACAAACCTGCCTAGCAGTAAAGAACTGGGTCATCTAGCTCTTTAGGGTAGGCTCCAGTCCTGTGATTGTCTTATTATTCATCCTGGGTGACAGAGCAAGATGCATCTCTAAAAATAAAATAAAACAAATTAAGAATCTTCAGAGGTTTACTCCCTTCTTGTGTCCACAGCACCAAAATGGCATCTGTTTCCTAGAGGATTCATTGACAGGAGTTACAAACTACTGATTATGTGTACTGTGTTGCTATTATAATTACAAAGCTATATATGTATGTGTACATTTCAGATTGCTGAGAATAAAAACAACACTTCCAACATTCCTAGTCCCCATTTTGCTTTAGAATCAGAGCCCTTGAAAATGTGGATTGTTCCCATATCTGCACATTAATCTCTCCCAGTTGATAGTACATAAGAAAGCGAAATATAAAGCTGAAATTATAAAATACAACATTTAAATAATTTTCTTTTAAGGGTGAGCTCTAAACCTGGCTCTTGATCTGGCTCTTGCCCACAATCTTAAATTCATTCTATAACTATGAACTCTGAAGGAGGCAGGGTCAGAAACAATACTTCTTGCCACTATTTTTTCCCCACCAATATTATATATGGTCAGCACAGGTAAAGTTATCATGAAACAAATAAAACATAAGCGTTAGGGCCTTCATTCGCATGGGAACCTTGAGCACTTGGAGATGCTGGGAACTGCAGAGTTCCAAGTGTGGAAGGGAAGCCAAATTGCAACCAGGATAATACAAACTTTTCCTACAAACTGCCTAAAGGCATCTTAGAAGACACTAGGCTGAATTTTTAAGTTTCCAGTGATTCACTGTGATTTTTTTCTCATTCTAATTATTCATTTCTTATATATGTATTTATGTTTTTAAAGAGGCAGCCCCTAATCCCAACAGATTATGCAAACTAAAGTCTGTGCCAAACCTGGAGCTGCCTCTGATGGATGGTTCATTCTTATGAATGTTGTAGATGGTCCACTCAGAGTATAAAGAAAAAAAACTTATCCAGGATAATCAGAGTTCTTGTCCTTTATTTATGAACACTAGTTCATAATTACCACAAGTATTTAAATGATTACTTTGGTATAATTTATGGATTTTAACATATTTTCCGCATCCTGATTTGGAAAAAATATTAACTTTAAGAAGTTTTGGCTGGGCGCGGTGGCTCACGCCTGTAATCCCAGCACTTTGGGAGGCAGAGGCGGGCGGATCATGAGTTCAGGAGATCGAGACCATCCTGGCTAACACAGTGAAACCCCGTCTCTACTAAAACTACAAAAAATTAGCTGGGCGTGGTGGCGGGCGCCTGTAGTCCCAGCTACTCGGGAGGCTGAGGCAGGAGAACGGCGTGAACCCGGGAGGCGGAGCTTGCAGTGAGCCGAGATTGCGCCACTGCACTCCAGCCTGGGGGACAGAGCGAGACTCCGTCTCAAAAAAAAAAAAAAAAAAGAAGTTTTATAATTCTACTACAGTTGGTATAACATTATACCTCCAAAAGAAACAACTTGTTCTTACTTGAAAAATGTGGTACGACTGAAAAGCAGCAGAAAACCATTTTCAAGATTGTAGGCTTATTCATCCAGATACTGGATTCTGAAATCTTTATGATCTTATCATCATCAGAAAATATTTAGAGTCTAAATATTTCACTAAAACATTTAAAATGGTATATAATCACTATTTGTTTAAACATGTCACACCAGGATTGTTATTTATTAACTTATTAGTAAAAATATTGTACATAAGTTTTGTGTTCCTAGTGATTTACGTTGTGTCTTCTGAACAAGCTTCTTGGTGGGTACTGTATGTTCCTTTAAAATTATTGCTCGCTGTAAAAGTGAGCACACGCACGCCAGGGTGTGCGTTAGGTAGCTTTTACAATGCTCTCTGGGTGTGCTAGGCCTCTGAGGCATGGAGCCAAATGTGAAGCTGCCATCATTCAACAGTATAAAATGCATACTGTGGTGTGTCATTGCAATTATTCCTTTTTATGACTTAGGGAAAAAAAAGCTCCACCTTCCCTTCAGTAATTTTAAACATTAACCTCTAGGTTTCAGAAGTACTCAAGATGGTTCAACTCTGTTTCCCATGAACAAGATGTAGTTCATTAATAACTAATTCCTCCTCACATGCCAACTTTACAACTATTACAAATCTTAACTTCAAAATGTACAAGAATTTGCAAGAAAAATGTGTAGAAGAAATTTTGAGAATATATATTTTCTTTTAAACTGGCAAAACAGATCTGACGGGGGTATTTCCAAGAGGAAATATTTTCTATAAACTTCGACTTTACCTGTCATGTTTCCATGATTTATATATTAGCAACTTTTATTTATTAAAAATTTTTTAAGATGAATAAAATATTTTTATAAATTGTTTGACTCATTTTAAAATGAAAACCTTACTTGCCACAAACCTAGCACTTAATAATTGAGGGATAATAAATGCAAATACATGAAAACATTAATATTAGCAATCAGCAGTTGGCTTAAGCTTTAAAGTTTACGTGACAACACTCACTCTCAGACCTTTTTCAATTCAAGTTACAGAAATATGTGCAACAAATTACATTTTAAATGAGAGGTAAAACCTGGAGTTGACATTATAACACAAAGACTTGGTGATATTGATGGGATATCAGGCAGCGATTGTAGTGGATAAATCCAGATACAGACACTAAAACAATTTTACAGAAACTTTGCTATTCTGGGGGGAGTATTGATGGAGGGAAAACATGTTATATAAGGATGATATAACATTCTTAATAAATTCTATCATAAGGAATATAATTGGGCAAGAAAAAATTTTTTATACTATTTTTAGTTTTAAAGGCTACATTTAGTTCAATTTCCTTGTATAAGACAATCTGGTGGGTAATTTTTAATAATCTCTTTGATAGAATCTTTACAAATAGTCATCTGGCCTTCCCATGAACATGTATTATGAAAACAAATGAATAAATCTCATTCTTTTGTGTTGTATCCCTTTCTCCTGTTGAGCAACTAAGTCAGTCTTCACCACATGCTGAAACGTACTCTTCTATAATTTGTGCCTATCAGCCTTTTCTTCTGTTCTGTAAAACAGTGGTCCTCAACCTTTTTTGCATTAGGGACCAGTTTCATGGAAGACAATTTTTCCAGGGCCAGAGATGGGAGACAGGGTGGTGGGTGAAACTTCCATCTCAAATCATCAGGCATTAGTTAGATTCTCATAAGGAATGTGCAACCTAGATCCTTTGCGAGCGCAGGTCACAATAGGGCTTGCGCTCCTATCATAATCTAATGCTGCTGCTGATCTGACAGGAGGCGGAGCTCAGGTGGTAATGCTCACTTGCCCGTGGCTCACCTCCTTCTGTGCAGTCCAGTTCCTAACAGGCCACGGACCAGTACTGGTCCGTGGCCCCAGAGGTTGGGGACCCCTGCTATAAAACAATACAGAGTCCACCCTTCCAAGGGTTTGAAGACACCTAACAAACATCTCTACATTCTTCCTTGCCCAATCTTCTCTTTCCTAGACATACAAATCCCCATATGCTGAATAATTTCTCATGTGACATCGTTTCTAGATTCTGTACTATATTCTTTATGTGTCTTTTAAATTATTTCCTTGTTAAAGTGGAGCAGCCATAATTCTGCATGGCACAATGAAGTTTTACTTTTGTTGACTTTATTGACCTAAATAATATGCTATTAATGTAGTCAACATTTACATTGGCTTTCTTAAGATATTAATTACAGTGTTGACTTAAATTGATCTTTCTGTCAGATAAAATGATCAGGGCATTTTTAAGAAATATTTTGTATTGTTAAGTTAGATCTTCTTAATCTTATTAATGTGTAATTGATTATTTCAAACTTCATTGTAGGACTACATTTAAGCCAGTTTTGTTGCATCTATTTATTTCATCCCTTTATTGCAGCCTATAAAATTTTTGATTTAGTGATCAACTGATTAGCCAGACCACATAGATTGATGTCTCTTGCAAATGTGATAGGCCTGTCTTTCATGTGATCAGATGTGTGCATGTATTCAACATGTACTATAGAAACACACCGACTTGCATTTTAATTCTTTGTTGGCCACTTAACTGTCTATGACTTCTGAGAAATCACTTAACTTCTTTGAACTTCCATAAAATGGGAAAAGTAATGCTTACTTTATGAAGTTATAGTGAGATTTAGATGAGATGTTGTATGTAAAATGCTGAGGACAGTGTTTGGTTTATACATTTGTATTAAATATATACACACACATATGTACACACATATATATACATATATATATACACAGAGAGAGAGAGAGAGAGATTTATACATATAATTATCTCCTGTAGCAGTGGAGTGGAGATAGAAACCAGAGTAGTAATAGTTGAAGAAGCAAATATGTTTATCTACAGAACAGAATTTGGAAACACTTGGAAATGAAGGCAGAGGGTATTGACTAATATTGACTAATTGTTGACACATGTTAAAGTTCATGAGCAGCTATTTTGTTTCTATGGAATGAGCAATTAAAACTAACTACTGGATTCTGAGTTTAACGACAAAATAGAAACTATATTTGAAGTTGATTACTCAGAGTCTACCTTTCTGTTATTGAGAAGTGAGGCTGGTGGTCACACAGGCTTGCTAACCACACTGAACACACCTGAGCAAAGGGAGGCACCCAGTACGGGAAAAAGTATTTTTTTCAGAACTTATGTGCCTATAGCCAACACATTTACAACCTTTATTTGCTGTCAGTGAGAATGAAGTTGGAATCGTATCTCTTTTGTCTCTTTTAACTTTAACATAACTACCTAACGCTATTGAGGGTGGGGTGAAGGTTTGAGCACACAGCATGATTTTCATGCTATGCAGAATCTCAGAATCCACTGGGACTTAGACATCATGATCCAGAAAGCCTGGCATCGACAAGAAGAAAAGATTTTCATCAATGCTAAATTAATTAGCATTGAAAGTTAAAGCTTTCAATGATGAAAGTTAAAGCTCCATCTTCTGCCTAGGGAGAAGCTTGTTCAAGGTCATATAGCTGGCAAGTGATCACCCAGGATTTGAACTCTGGAAATCTCACTTTGGAACTTATTCTTTTAACTACTAAAATAAACTAATTTTTATGTTAGATTATCCTGGTTTTTTGAGGGTAATCAATCTTTGATAACACCCTAGATCTTTTGGGGAATAGTAAAAGGAATACATTAATAAATAAGTATTGCTAAGGTAAGAAAACTGAAATAAGGTGGAGCAAGTAACATGTTTGTTTCATGTGAACATAGCTGAGGAAAAAATCATTTGGAAATATTGCAGTATAAAGCTTGTAGTGAAACATCTGACATCCATTGTTCCTTTGCCCACAATTGCTTCTTCCATTCAGAGGTGAAGGGAAACTGGCACTCATCATTTAGTCTCCCCCACCCCCACCACCAGAAACCTATGTTTCCAATAGGAATTGCCATCACAACTCCTCTCTGGCTTTAACTATTGGTTTAGCCAATAGTTGGATCAATTGTGACAGTTAAATGTCTTTAAACAATTATTTATCTCAGAGATGGGCACATAACAGAAGCTTGGCCAAATCTAGATTTTTCTCTACTCTAGAAAAATAGAGTAGTAAGTATTGCTTGGAGTTCCCTCTTCTCCCAGAAGGAAGCATTCAAGAATATGAGCTTTAAAGTTGTTTGTAGCTATGCCCCACTTATGAGAAGAAAATTAGTCTCAGAGAGTGAAGCCAATGTGTGAAAAGATGCAAAGACCAAAATGAAAAGAGTCATTATGACATTCAGATCCTCAGTTCCAGATGTTCCTGCCCTTTACAGTTTGCCTCCATAGGCCAGCAATTTCCCTTTTTGCCTAAGCTGTTTGAGTTTAATTTTTATCTCTTACAGTTGAATCAGTCTTACTACAAATATCAGTAGAGTAAGATAGTCATATTCTTGGGCTAATCTAGGGCCTTGTGGTGTACTAAATGTCAGTAGAAAGCTGCCTTCATGGATAAAATTGCCTTCACTCCTCTTCAAACTTATTTTTCTTGAGTTGCACTTTAATGACAAGCTCTTATATTTAATCAAATGTCTAAAGCAATGTACAACTTTCAAAGATGGATAAAGCATTCACAAGACTGAGATAGCTGAGGACACTGTATACTCCATCCCTCAGTGCCCCCAGTATAAAGCTCCACATGAGAAATCTTTTTCTAAAACGTAGACTAGAGCTTTGCTTCCCTTAAAAGGAAATGCCGTATTTTCTACTTGTGGAAAAAGAGAATCATATTAATAAAATCATATTAATTAAAGTGGGACAAAGCAGGTCATTTTAGGAGACTTTATAACATAGAGGAAGAACATTGATTTGGAGACAGAAGAACTGAATTTGAGTCCATGCTACACATTTCATAGCTGGTTGGTCTCTGACAAATTACTTGTTCTCTCTAGACCTCAGTTTTCTCTTTTGTATAATAGAAATAATAATGTTAGCCTTACTTCTATTATAACATTATTGTAAAAATTAAATAGGAATGTGATATAAAATACTTTATAAACTATAAGGCTTTGTATCTACTTCAGTTATATTGTCTTTCAATCAAATTAGAATTTTCTCTTATATACAGGATGATTTCTTTGAGGAGGAAACCTTTTTATTCTTCACAAGAAATTTATACTGCTTAATAATAATATTATCCTATTTTCATCTTTAAAGAACTTAAATTAAATTATTCTTTACCAGAATCATAAGTCATAGTTCCATTTTACATTGGAGGCAAATAAAAGTTTAAGGCAAGAAAAGGACAAGAACGTTAAGGACTACAGAGGAAAATAAGGCTTTATGCAAGTGAAAACCTGAATTCTGGGCTTCTCTGTCTTTACTGTAAGGCAAAAAACACATCACTGCTTTGACAACTCACTCTCTTCTTTTCTGCTATTTCTCCAAATCTCTACCTTGAACCCACACTAAAATGTAAGGACTGAAATAAAGAAAAGGAAGTCAAACCTGTTGTTCAATGAAGATCAATGTTTAGTGTGAGAGATATTAGTTGGAAACAACATCACTGATTTAGACCCCGAGGCACATTCATGTGCATGCATCTACTGCTATCTGTGGGATAGTGGGGATGCAGAATTTAGTTTGTTCTTCCTTAACTGTGTGTTGCTCAGTTTTCGTGCCAGCGTTGTCTGAACATTGCTAAAACAGCACAAAAGCTCACAGAGGTGTCAAACAGCAGGGATGAGGGGCTGAGTTTTCCCTCATCCGTGAAGGATTCAATTAAAGAACAAAGAAAACTTAGATTTTAAGATCACCAGTCCAAGTTGTTCAAGAACTCTCATATATATTTCAAAATCTATCTCCTTATATTTCTTCTTTATTCAAATAAAATGTGATTAATATGGTGTTTTTGTGCTTTTAAGTGCACAATTATAAAAGCATGTAGCTATTTCTTACATTTTGTAACCATGTGTGCTTCTGTTTAATCCTGTCCTTATGGGAACTATTCTGAGATTAAACAACCAGCATCAGGAAAATTTTAAAGAGACTCCTCCAGTGTTTAACCATCATTTCAATCTCCTTAATGTTAAATGTTCTATGCTTTTTCTCTTTCTTTCTAATAGTGATTTCATCTATGTTCAGGCACCAAGAGAGCTAAGAAGGAAGGGAGAGTAGGAACAAAGCACACCCTCTGTCAAGAGCTCTTTCATTGTGGGTTAGATTAGGAATGACTTCTTATGTAAAGTGCACACTGTAAACTAATCTTTGTTTCTGCAATTTAGATAAGATTATTTCAATAGACGTCAGTTTCAGTATTGGATTTTCTCTCTTTCTTGTACTGATGTTCTTTCTGGCCAATGATCTATGTGACTGTCATTTGACATAAAGTTACCATATCTGAATTACATCTTGTGCTTTCATGCCAGGAGGAAAACATTATTTGTGTTTATATCAGGAGATGAACTTTAAAGGTGGGTCTGTTGACTTTTCTGAACATCAACAAACTGAGTGCAGCAATATTCTTTGAGTTGGTTAATAAAATCCTAACTGAACACATGTGATGTGTGCAAGCTGTCTTTAAAGATATATATATATATATATGAGTTAATTTCATATTAATTTCTATTTTTTCTTAAATTTATATCAACTTTAAACAATATAATTTACTGGACTGTCATTATATGTCAGTGTAGTGTAACTCAGTATGTAAGTAGCTACAAAGATAAATTCCATTTCAATTGAAAGGAAATGTCAAAAATAATGTCTCTTTACATTATGTAAAGGTTACTTCATCTACTATTCATTCATCACATATAGTATACCTGAAAAAGGAAGCATGCATATCATTAAATACATATTTATAAAAATTAAGCTAAAAGAAAACTTTTTAAACCAAAAACTAGTAACAAAAACAGGTTTTGCTTGTGACCTCAACTGGGCAATGAAGCCCAATAAAAAATACTACCTCTTAATAGAACTAAATGTCTACTATAGATTTCAGGAGCGAAGCACTTTGATCCTTTGTAGGTTTTAATTATGCAGACAAAAATGACCAGAATGTAGTAGGTGTTCATTAAAACCCAAATCTTAAGATTAAAGATGGAGGCTACAAATACTCCTAGGCAGAAGATCTGGTTCTAAAAGACATGTAAAATGTAGGCAAAACATAAATCAAACTGAAAATGGAGTATCATTCGAGTTGTAAACAACCTACAATTTAGAGTTTAAAATGATATGCTACAATAGTTGCTTATGCTTTCTCTAATATTACATTGTATGTATGGGGTGTTTAGGAATGCACATAATTCTTTTCATCTAACATTAGAAAAGTGTAAACATTAGAAAAGTGCCATTCCAAAATTATATTTTCATGTACAGATCTTCTAAAAATTATGTTTTAAAAGTTATAATTAGATAATGACTTGGTTACATTAAAAGAAGCTTTGGCGGGGCACGGTGGCTCACGCCTGTAATCCCAGCACTTTGGGAGGCCGAGATGGGCGGATCACGAGGTCAGCAGATCGAGACCTTCCTGGCTAACACCGTGAAACCCCATCTCTACTAAAAATACAAAAAAAAATTAGCCAGGCATGGTGGCGGGCGCCTGTAGTCCCAGCTAATCGGGAGGCTGAGGCAGGAGAATGGTGTGAACCCAGGAGGCGGAGCTTGCAGTGAGCCGAGATCGCGCCACTGCACTCCAGACTGGGCGATAGAGCAAGACCCTGTCTCAAAACAAAACAAACAAACAAACAAACAAAAAGAAGCTTTAAGAGAAGAAAATTGAATTTTGTTAGGAAAATAAAAATAAGTTAATTTAAGAATCTACTTGTTTTCACAATCACATCTCAATTTTTCAGGGATCGTCCATTATCCCCTCTTCCCTCAAATTACAAATCTAAAAAACTGAACAAACAGACAAAAAAGCTTTCCACATTCTTGTTCTCCTATATATACTACCCTGGTTTTCAATTTTTGTCCAGATCTAAATTTCTTTTAAATGGTCTCTACTCTTTAACTTTCTTCCACCTCTAACTCACTTCTCAACTCAGTGTAATTTGACTTTCACCCTATCACTGCACTGAAAGTTCACTGTAAGGACAAGTTAACCTCCTAAGTGACAGAGCTAATGGACACTGTTTAATCCTGAAACACTGACCTCCTGACTGCTGTTGCAACTCTTTCTTTGTAGGTTTTCATTTCACCAACACCTTTTCCTTGATTTTCTTCATTCTCTGTGGCAACTTTTCCTCATTCCTCTGTCAGTCTTCTCACATAATTCATTCTACGTGGGTAATCCCATTTATATCAGTGACTTTACAATTCATATGCTGATCACTCTCACTTCCATAACTCCACACTAACCTTTCTCCTGGGCTTCAGGCTTATATTTCATAATACTCTCAAGATTTCTTCATGTGGATATTACAGACTTCCCTAACTTAACTCATCCAAAGTCATTTTTTGTCCTCAGCTCCCCTCAATGCCTTGTTTACTTTTATCCCTGTACAAGATTAGTGAGTTGCATCTTTACAATGTTCTAAACTGGAAAATTGTGAGAGATCCTTGATTCTTTTCTCTCCCTCAAACTTAATATTCATTAGATCACTAAAACCCTATTAATTTTATCACAAATATAGAGTCTTTGCCTAGCCCCATTGTCAATGTCGCAGCCTGTACTGTTATTTATTCACTAGTTGCAGAAAAAATTGCTATAGCTACAGACTTGGTCTGTTTCTTGAATTATTTCATGCTCCCGTCTCCACACTAAGGACACAGTTATTTTCTAGAAAAACAAAAGGAGGTCTGGGCACGATGGCTCATCCCTGTAATCCCAGCACTTTGAGAGGCCAAGGCGGGCAGATCGCCTGAGGCTAGGAGTTTGAGACCAGCCTGGCCAACATGGTGAAAACTCATCTCTACTAAAATACAAAAATTAGCCAGGTGTGGTGGAAGGTGCCTGTACTCCCAGCTACTCAGAAGGCTGAGGCATGAGAATCACTTGAACCTGGGAGGCAGAGGTTGCAGTGAGCCAAGATTGCACCACTGCACTCCAGCCTGGGCGATGGAGCAAAACTGTCTCAAAAACAACAACAGCAACAACAACAACAACAAAAAACGGTGGACAGACCTCAGTTTCAGACACCATGCCATCAAACAAGCTTAAACCATTGTTGATATGCTCTTGCCTGCAGGAGGACATTCAGTGCCTTTGCCTCTCACATAAATACTTTACAATCAATCAGATCCCTGCCCATTTCTCTAGCCTCATTTTCCATCTCTCTCCCTTTCCAACCGTATTCTTTTACCATTCCAAAATATCTTCCATTCTCTAAATGACCACAGGCAGCTCTAGATTTATATTCGTCATAAGGTGCAACCCCAGAGAAAAGAAAGTCCCTCTTTTTCATTATTTCCCCAGCAGGGCCCTGGGGAGCTTCTGAGTGGCTCTGCGTGGGTGACTTGACTGTTGAACCAATCTCTGTGGCCAAGGAAATGCACTACTCTGATTACATAGACTAGGTCATGTGTCCACCTTTGTGGGGAGAAGTCTGCTCCACCTAAGTTTCATAGATTAGCTCTTCCATAATAAAGAGGAGTCCTGTTACCAGAAGCAGGGGAAGAAAACAGTCGAAAAGGAGCTGCTGCAAAGAAAGGGGAAGAATAGGGTGTCCCCAACGTGTACTTTCAGGAAGCACATGATAGTTTCTCAGCATCACACCTCCAGTCACCTCTCCACCTCATGTAAGTGGGCATTCAACTAAGAATAGGGAGCAAATTCCAATCTTAGCAAATTATCTTCTTTATCAAAATTAGCGTCCCTACCTAAGGACTATTGTGGTGACTGAGACTATATTGCATAGTTCTGTCTCGATTTTCAGATGTTTTATTTCAGTCTAATTGTTCCATGCTTTAGGTGGAAATGAGTGCACTTCAGAGTCAGGTAGAATTTGTTCACAATCAGGTTTGAGCTTCACGTTTACTTTTCCTACTCATCTCCAACTTTCTACCTGCTTCTTCACTATTGCCTCTGATTCCAGTGCCTCAAACAAAAAAATAAGCAAAAGTCTATATCAGGTTGCAGATTCAGATTCAACAAATATTATTGAGTGCTTACCATGTACCATGTGCAAAAATCCCAAAAATATGAATTGCGTATTAGTGTTGAAACACAAATGTTGTCCAGGTGATATGCCAGCTAATAAGAAGCCAGAAAAACGAAGATTTCTGAGATGTGTGCTGGTGGCTCAGAAGTGACAAAATAGATGTTCATGATATTCAGATAAATAAAATACATTTGGGCCAGGTGCAGTGGCTCACATCTGTAATTCTAGCACTTCGGGAGGTTGATGCAGGTGGATTCCTTGAGTCCAGGCATTTGAGACCAGCTTGGGCAATATGGCGAAATCCTGTCTCTACCAGAAATACAAAAAATTGGCTGGGCATTGTGGCACATGCCTGTAATCCCAGCTACTCAGGAGGCTGAGGTGGGAGAGTTGCTTGAGCCCGGGAGGTGAATGTTGCAGTGAGCTGAGATCACGCCACTGCACTCCAGCCTGGGCAACAGAGTGAGACCCTGTCTCAAAAAAAAAAAAAATTGTACTTTAATTAATTAAAAATCTGTGTTTCTATGAAAACACAACTTACGTACCTTGTTCCCCATTACTCTTTGTACCTGCCTTTCTATTATTCTCTCCATTCCTCTTATTTATTCTTTTGTTCCTCTTCCTTTTGCGTTTTTCAATGTCATGGGAAAGTGAAGTGTGCAGTCTACCCTAGATTTTCTTGTAATTGTCAAATCTCTCTTTCTAACTCTTTTTAGAACCTTTTTTTGAACACTTTTTCATTGTAGATAAATTCCCCCCACAGTTCCTTAATATTTTCTGCAGACAGACTTAACTGCATTATAACTCTGCATTGAGGACACCTCTTCCATTCCATCTTCCTCCGATTGAAGCAGCTCATTTTCTCATCTCCCATGAGCAACAAGACCAAGAAATGTTTTTCCTTCTCTATATTCCACATTGCCTATATCATATTATTACTGTGTCATCCTTATGCAAAGATTCAAGACACCATGGTGGTTGAAACCGAAGGCTCTAGAGCCAAATTTCCTAAATCTAAATCCTAACTCTGGCACTTACTAGCTGTGTGACTTCAAGCAAGTGATAAAATCTATACATCTTTAGCTGGGTGTGATGGTGTGCATCTGTAGTCTCAGCTGCTTGGAAGGCTGAGGCATGACAATCACTTGAACCCAGGAGACGATGGTTGCAGAGATCGTGCCACTGCACTCCAGCCTGGGTGACAGAGTGAGACCCTGTCTCAAAAAAAAAAAAAAAAAGAAAAAAGAAAAAAGAAAAAGATCTATACATCTATGTCAATGACTCATCCAAACACCCAGAATATGCCTGCATCTCCTCAATTTCAGTTACCTTAATTTCCACTTACTCCTAATACTAACCCTAAATCTTGTCAGTTTTGCTCCCCTTCAAAAAAATTTTTTATACCCATATGTTTTCTAATAATTAAATATCTCCAGTCCTTTGTTATTATGATTTTCTTCCAGTCTTTAAATCCCTTCCTACTTTCTCATCCATGCCTACTCACATGGTTGGAAACTTCTGTTTGAAGAAATATATGTATATTTTTTTCTACTGGTCACATTGATCTGCTAGAAACTTTAATTTTTTACTGTATGGGTCCAGCTCATTTGTTTCTAAATTTTGACTATTGTTGATTCATGGTTCTTAACTTTGCCAGTCAACTTTTCTATTATTTAGATAGCATCTCTGTCACTTATCTCAACGAATTTTCTAAGCTCCAGCTCACCTCCCCCAGTGCTCTCCTCCTTCTCATCATTATCTTTACTCCTACTCCATTGAGGAAAGTAATCTCATCAGCTATAATCTCTCTGAACTTTCTGACCTCCTATCTGGAAACATGTTTATATTCATACCCATCTTTCTTCAATTTGTCCAATTTTATGGAAAGTCCTTTAAAAGTCAAGTCTTCACTTGTATCTTGATCTCATCCCTCCCTACCTCTGTCAGATTTGTTTCCATCAATTATCCCTTCTCTCTTTTTCCTTCTTTAGCCTATAAATATAATTAAGTTTCTGCTATTATAAAACATTTTTATCTTATCCTGAATTTACCTCTTGATATCCCTTTCATTGTCCTCCTCTCCTCACCCAAATTTTTCAAAGAGTAGTCTACAATTTGATTTTTAATTTCTTCTACAATCATTTACTTTTCAACTCATTGCAAACCAGCCTCAGTCCTTACAATTCTAAATAAAGTCATTACTGTCTGACTAAATGCCAAATCCAAAGAACATTTCAGTCTTTTTTTAACTGCATTTAATGCTATTGAGCACCATCATTTGACACTGCTGATTATTTCTTCCTACTGCTGATTTCTATGGCAGCTCACATTTATGTGATTTTTGTACCTCTCTGATCACTCCCAACCTCTCCAATTTTTTGAGCCTTTATCTCCACCAACCTCTTTATTAATGGTATTCTATAAGCTTCCATTCTTGGGCCCTTCCTTTTTCAGTCTGTATATTCTTGTAGGTGATAGTATGGCTACAATTAATTCTATTTATTCCAAATCTATATGGCTAGTTCAATCTTCTCCCAAGTTTTCAGACATATTTCCAGTGGTCTGGTGGACATTTCCATTTAGTTTTCAAAAAGGTGCTACAAATTTAACGTGTTCAAATTGAACTTACCTTTACTTGCTCTTCCACCTACACAACCTGACCTTGTGTTCTCTATTTCAGGTGATGGAAAAATCATGCTATTTAATAAGTTATCTAATGCTGCTGATTTTAGTTATTACTTCATAAATCTCTCCCCTTATTTCCAACCATCTCTACTTTGGCTCCAGCCTTAACGTTTTTCACTTAGATCACTGCAATAGCATTCTAACTAGTTTCTCTATCTCTAATTTCATCCCCTCTAAATCCATCCTAGAAATTACCAAAATGAAGTATCTTAAAATCAAATTTGAGCACTTTATTCCCTTGCTTAAAAACCTTTTAGTGAGTAAGGATAAGGAACTAGTCCTACCAGATAGTAAAACACACAAAAAAGTACAGTAATTAAAGGGGTATAGCACTGGCATAGGAATAGATAGACTAATGAGACGGAACAGAGTGCCCCTCCAAAGTTTCCCTCCCCAAAAATCATTTTAGTTGAAATGAAGTTACAAACAAAGCTCAAAAATATGCGAAGAAATTTCCAGATAAGACAGCTAATAGATGGGACTGGATGCTGCCTGGCTCTTCTTTACTCTAATATAGTATTTTGTTTTTCTTTTTTTTTATTATACTTTAAGTTTTAGGGTACATGTGCACATTGTGCAGGTTAGTTACATATGTATACATGTGCCATGCTGGTGCGCTGCACCCACTAACTCGTCATCTAGCCTTAGGTATATCTCCCAATGCTATCCCTCCCCGCTCCCCCCACCCCACCACAGTCCCCAGAGTGTGATATTCCCCTTCATGTGTCCATGTGATCTCATTGTTCAATTCCCACCTATGAGTGAGAATATGTGGTGTTTGGTTTTTTGTTCTTGCGATAGTTTACTGAGAATGATGATTTCCAATTTCATCCATGTCCCTACAAAGGACATGAACTCATCATTTTTTATGGCTGCATAGTATTCCATGGTGTATATGTGCCACATTTTCTTAATCCAGTCTATCATTGTTGGACATTTGGGTTGGTTCCAAGTCTTTGCTATTGTGAATAATGCCACAATAAACATACGTGTGCATGTGTCTTTATAGCAGCATGATTTATAGTCCTTTGGGTATATACCCAGTAATGGGATGGCTGGGTCAAATGGTATTTCTAGTTCTAGATCCCTGAGGAATCGCCACACTGACTTCCACAATGGTTGAACCAGTTTACAGTCCCACCAACAGTGTAAAAGTGTTCCTATTTCTCCACATCCTCTCCAGCAGCTGTTGTTTCCTGACTTTTTAATGATTGCCATTCTAACTGGTGTGAGATGATATCTCATAGTGGTTTTGATTTGCATTTCTCTGATGGCCAGTGATGATGAGCATTTTTTCATGTGTTTTTTGGCTGCATAAATGTCTTCTTTTGAGACGTGTCTGTTCATGTCCTTCGCCCACTTTTTGATGGGGTTGTTTTTTTCTTGTAAATTTGTTTGAGTTCATTGTAGATTCTGGATATTAGCCCTTTGTCAGATGAGTAGTATTTTGATTTCTAAATCTTGAGAAGTACCCAAATCAAGCTCTCAAAATTAAGTTTAGTGGCTGAAAAGCCAGAACATTATTGTTTGACTGTTTAGTAGAGAAGCATAGCAAGTCTCATCAGCCTGTTGGCAAAGCTGTATTTCTCATTGTGGAAGTTGATTCTTTAAATCTTCGACCAAGCAAAGGGAGAATATTGGGGCTATTACTTAGCTAATCATAAAACAAATCCTTAGAATCCCCTCATGCACAGAAGTTCTCAAACAGTTGCACGTTACAAGGGTTTCATTAAAGGAGAAGCATGCTGTTTCCCTGAGGAGTTATTTACTTTGCAATTAATAAAAAATAAATCATCTCTTTCTGAAATGTTCCTTTGAGGATTAAATTTTAATTCATCCATTCTTTCATTTAGCCAATGTTTACTAAACAAATACTTATGTGTCAGGAATTGTAGAGACAATAAAAGATTATTTAAAGCACAATCATTATCACCAAAAGAATCTCCAATTTGGATTGTGGAGTTTCTTCTTTCTATTCCATATATAGGTTGTATACCTATATTTGACCTTCTCAAATAGCACAAAAGTATTTTAAGATTATTTTAGGCTGCTAGTTTTAAGCTGTTAATATTTTATTTATTTTTAGCAAGCTAATTTTTTGTAACTGTGCTCTGGGACAATTCAAAAAGTAATATAAATGCACAGTGGCCATGTATTATTGCTATAAAGGCAGTAAAAATGGGAAAGGAAGTTCTACAGCTCACTTTTCAATTATTTATTTAGTAAACAATAAAAAAAGTATAAAAGCAGCCAGGACTATATTAGCAAAAGATGGGGCAGTAGGAAATAAAGACTTGGAAAATTTAAAAGAACAAAAATGAATGTCATTCACAGCCATTACAGACTTCAGTAAAAAAGTTAGTGAATTATTAATTAATGTCATTAAGTTAATTGTGCCAATGTTTGACAGCAGTGTGAAATGAATCATGGAAAGTTTTAGAAAAACAAAACTTTAATAACCTTTTGTAGCACATCCATTGCATTTGGACTCAGTAGTCTCATTATCGAAGAGATTATTCCAAGGTAATATTTTAAATGCTCTTTTAAAAACTAGACATGTAGTTTAAAATAAAATAAAGTTGCATGATTATTTTAGTTAAAAGTGCAAAACTCCAATAGGAAGTTTTTATCTTGTCTTATTTTCATTATGATAGAAATAATGACCTCTGCCATGAATTATATGTCCTTAGAATGCATTTAATAAATGTAACCGTGAATGTAGTAGTAAAGACAGTGTCAATATTTTTGAGAAACTTCTTTGCTTTAGTGATTTTCATGATGACTTGTATATCAGGTTGTATGCAGTACATATATAGATTCTTTTTAAGTCAACCAACTAGCTCACTTTTCACAAAGTTAGACAAGAAAGGGTATCTGTAAATTCTCAGTAGCTATTGACTTCTACCAGAGTTATGACAATAATGTGGAGAATAATGCAATCTTGTGTACATGTAGATTTTTTACTGATACCATGTGTAAAAATGTGAGGCTAAGCCTAGGTATTAACAACATAGTGAGACCTCCTCTCTACAAAAATAATAATAATAATAATAATTAGCCAGGCACAATTGCGCACACCTATAGTCCCCACTACTCAGAAGGCTGAGATGGAAGGATCACTTGAGTCCACGAAGTTGAGGCTGCAGTGAGTTATGAGTGCACCACTGCACTCCAGCCTAGGTGACAGAATGAGACCCTGGCTCTTAAAAAAACAATGTGGGGCTAGACCTATAAGAAAACATGTGATTTCAACTTCTATTTGAATGACATGGCTTCAGAAAGCCAGATCTGAAACTGGTCACCCAGTGCCAAGTTATTCCTAAACAAACCAATGTTTCATTTTACTTTGCTTCAAAATATGGCTCAGAATTTGCCTTTTCCTCTACCTAACTGCACTACATGTGGCAAACATTTTGGCACAACCACACTCCATACCTTATCTCTAAAGGTCACTTTTTTTTTTCTTTTTGAGACATAGTTTCGCTCTTGTTGCCCAGGCTGGAGTGCAATGGCGCTATCTTGGTTCATTGCAACCTCTGCCTCCCGGGTTCAAGCAACTCTCCTGCCTCAGACACCCGAGTAGGTGGGATTACAGGCATGTGCCCCCATGCACAGCTAATTTTTTTTTTTTTTTAAGTAGAGACAGGGTTTCGCCATGTTGGTCAGGCTGGTCTTGAACTCCTGACCTCAGATGATCCACTCACCTCGGCCTCCCAAAGTGCTGGGATTACACGCGTGAACCACTGCGCCTGACCTCTAAAGGTCACTTTCAAAGCATAGGAATTATAACAAAAATCTACCTTTGCAGAAAAAAAAGTTGAGTTAATAATTGAATTATTCTGATAAACAATTATTTCAAACATTTATTTTAGTGATAGAAATCTGGCTATTTTATTGGTAATAAAACTACTAAATAAGACCATGTTTTTCTTACATTTCCATTTTTATGTATATTGGAGGTAAAGATATAGGTTACAGGGGAAATGAACATGTGACATTAAACATGTTGTTGAATTTATCTGATTCTCAAAGGGTAAAGTTGTGACTGTTTTTCATAGAGCTGCAATTAGTGGAATAGGAATTGATATGTAAAAGGCCAAATTCTACAGTTTATTCATCACATAATATTGCCACTATTGCCTACCTATTCTAAGTTGGTTAGGTGAAAGCTAGAAAAACTTCCAAGTCTGCAAGCCAATCAGAGAAATTTTGGTTTGTAAATTACATGGCTATTTTGAAAATATAAAGATAATATAAGCTATAACTAAATTCTTGATTAAATTTCATGGCTATTTTGAAAATATTTTGAAAAATTCTTGATTAAATTTCATGGCTATTTTGAAAATGTAAAGATAATGTAAACTATAACTTTAAATTCTTGATTAAATTTCCTGAGACCTACAAATTATTGAGCATCTACTATAAGCAAAGAAGTACTGTTCTGGGCTGTCCTTAGGTACCTCACAGTCTGGTTGGATGAAAGAGAATATCAAACACTTTAAAGGGGGTAGCAGTTACTTGAACAGTGAGCCCTCATGTTGGCTATCATGAGAAGAAAGATTAAATAATGATTGTCATAAATGGCACTGTATGTGGATCAGAATTATCTTCATGTTTTCAATGTTGGAAACAGATTATTTGTGTTTTTAAGGTTCTCCTCCTAGAAGTTAGATACTGTCCAGAAATATTCAGCTGATAGATTCAGTGATAAGAGGTTACATTCTGCTTAACATATTTTCAAGTGACATTTAAAATGTCTATCCTGCCAACCTTGCTCAGTATTAGAGTAACTAAAAACTGTTCATATCATAAATGAAAAAAATAACAAAGAGGTTCTTATTTCTACCATTTTAGATGATGCTCAAATGGCCATGTCACACTAGGACACTGTCAAAAAGTACAAATTTTGACAAATAAATCAGAGTAAAAACCCACATTATGACAATAAAACAACATTAGATTTCTTTCTTCATTCAACTGTAATTTTGACATCATTGTTTATTTGATTCTTTGCAAACTATGTTAAGATTTATGACTACTAAGCAATTTTATATGGCTCTTGCAACTAATTGAAATTCTGCATTTCTCACAGATGAAATTATCCTCTTAAAATTGATCAAATTATAATTACTTTGATTTTGAGATTGAAATTGGGGGGTAGGTAAGTGAATATGAAACTCTAATTTAGTTAATATAGGCAGCTCTCATTCTTGGCCTTCAAATGGTGAATTTTGAGTAAATGGCAATAACTGGCATGTATTAGATTTTGAGATTATTTCCTGGGGAACTATTTTACTACATAGAATAGTTTACTTGTGTCCTACCACTTGTTAACACTGATAAAACTCACAAGTGCTAGAGAATAGTAATTATATTATCTAATGATATTTTTAATCTTACTGCTCACTCCTCCCTCCTCTGCCCCTCCCTATTTTTTAAAAAACTGCTGTTTAGAGCTGAGACAGGGTTAGACTAAGAATGACACATCCCAGCTAATGTTCCAGGTTTTTATAACTAAATTGCTCTTGCTTAGATTACCAAGAGGGTTTGGTTGTGGTCAAATCATGTATAGTCAATTCACTTAATATTTTTCTTCCTTGATATAGATTAACTTCTATCTGTTGGAAGCAAAGTAGAAACTTGCCTGTGTTCTCAGCTATTTAGAAACTTCACTAAGAAAGTTTCACAATAGCTTAGTTTTATTTATTTAAATTGTATGTACTATAACATTAAAGTTGAGAAATGTTTTATACTCATGAAATTTCAAGTATGACTTTATGATCTGACAGTAACATAAATGAACACATTTTGAAAAGAACAAAAAATTAAAATGTCTTAATCATAAAGAGATTAAACATATTTTCTTTAAAGTTTCTGATGAGGTATGGCTCCCACATTTCATTAAAAAGGGGGATGGGAAGCAAAGGAGGTTGACAGTTGGTTGATGTGTATGTCTAGCTACTAAATCATTGCATTCATGCTAAGACCTCCCATGTGCTCCCATTAAATCCCATCTAGCTCATGAGGTAATATATGTACTGTAGCCTATGGCTGGGTTATAGCTTTTTTCTTTCCTATTGAATTCATACAAACTCATAGTCCTCTA
This sequence comes from Homo sapiens, assembly GCF_000001405.40. NCBI lineage: Eukaryota > Metazoa > Chordata > Mammalia > Primates > Hominidae > Homo > Homo sapiens. Next base: position 93,889,570 of record NC_000004.12, read on the forward strand.
GGCTTTCCTTTTAAAGTTTCATATGTAATATGGATAGATTTCAAAAATCAAAATGTTGGGGTAAAATAAAGCTATAGAAAGATATTTACAGTGTGATATAACACTATACATATTTAAATAAAATTATATTTTTAAATACACACAGAACTTATAATAGTGGTCTCGGGGGAAGATGGGACTGAGGTTGGTTGTCAAAGGGAACTTTAACTTCATGTGTAAAATATTTATTCTTTTTAAGGCATGAAATCTCCATTGATTTGGGAAACGTGCAGTGTATATAGTATCCTTTGAACTTCTCTGTAGTCTTTGAAATATGATAGAGTAGTGGCTAAATATACAGAATCTGGAGAGACGCTACGTGGATTTAAATCTGCCACTTACTACATGACCATGAGCAAGTTACCTAACCATCCAGTAGTACCTCATCTTTCTAATCTGCAAAATGGTGTTTATAATAAACAGTACTCACCTTATTGGCTTGTTGTGAGATGTAAATGGGATAATGCCGGAAAAGTGCTTAAAACATAGAAAGTGCTTAGAACGGAGCAAGTATTCAAGACATTATAATGAGTAATTAATTTTATAAATACCTCAAAAATTTTTTGAGAGCAGTGTGTCTTTAATTAAAATAACTTCTCCAAAATAGATGTTACTGAAAACATACAAAAGCAATGTATACATGAAACAATTAAAACATGTTTAATCATTTAATGAAGCTACAGAACTGCAACTTCAGTAAAATGTTTCCTTTTTTTTTTCATTCCAGGTATTAGGAGGCCACTTCCTTCCAATTCACTATCCAGCTTTCCACTTATTCTCTAGGACTATCAGTAATTCAACTGTCTGATCTTTCTCTCTTCTATTTTTACATCTTTCTTTTTAGTTCTGAATCTACATAGCACAACCCAAATAGTTTTGACAGCAAGTATGCATTTCTTCCTTTAGCGACAGTAGCTTTAGTATTAACTGAAAGGCAGGGTGGATAATGTGACACGCGCTTTACTTTCAGCAGACTTGTTAATATCAGCTCTGAATTTTTCATGACGGCTTTGGTAACCTGTAGCCTGGAGTTGAAGCTCTGGGGGTTTCCACCACAAAGAGGTGGATCAGCTGAGCTCTCACTTCCCATCTGGCACTGGGTGACAGGGACAGTCAGGGGGACTGCAGGAAACCTGAAGAAGGAGAAAGCTGATGTGGGACACCCATTGTCGTGCATAAAAGGCTAAACATGTGCTGTTGTGTGGATATATCTTTGAGACACTTGTTTATCACTGGCTTCAGAATATAGTTAGTCAATGTGTTTAACTTTATAGTCACAAGAACAGCTGCCGCTCGTGTAAGTAATACCCTCATACACAGTGGCATCCTGATTCGCCAAACCAGATTCAGGACCTCTCCTCAGTGACTATATTATGCTGCCTGGCATGCTTCTTATTTACCCACAGAGGCAGGCATACACGTGCAGGCACACACACGGACACACACCGTACAGTTTCGGAACTGTTTGAAATTGTAAACCATTTATGCTGCTTCCCAAAGGTAACAAAATGATCCGAAGGTTCTCACAAATGCTGTAATTTATATCTGAAAATCCAAAAGAGAGAGTTGTGGGGATGGGAGACCCAAATATGTTTATACGAGAAAAGTCAGAAATTATGAAATAGTGTTTTTAAAAAAAAAAAAAAGAAAAGAAAAAATGAGCATTTACCTTTTTGAGATCTTATGGTTCTACTACTTTTTACTAAAATGTTTAGTTGCCTTCCTATTTGTGGGAAGTTGAATCACTATATACTTGATTTTATTTTTAATAACTGTAGCAATTGGGAATCACTCTACACACACCCAAACTACAATTCTTGGAACCAGGAAGGCGTTCTCTTAATTGCACCGTTCTATTGTCTCACCCTTTGTCTCTGTTCTGCCAAGAAAGAAGTTAAGTAAATAATTCTTAGTTTGTACTTGAAAAAAATAATTTTGTAGAGTTAGAAAATTACTCCAGCACTGAGTGAAAAAAAACAAAAAAAAAGAGACTATGTATGTTTCTACTATAATGTTTTGCAATTTTCCATCAGTGGAAAGAACTAGACCAATTTATAAAACTAATTCTTACTTTTATTTTCTTCTTGAATTGTCTGTTTTCAATTTGCCACTTAAATATACAGTCCCCTGACTTTGAGATACATTTCATTGTTGCTTTGGGAGGGGCTGTCAATTTTAAAAGCTCATTAACTAATGTTCAGATTTTTGAAAGATCTACCAGAAGGTTGACTTTCAGTATAAAAATTGTATTAAAACAGTATAACAAGGTATACGTTTACAGCAAAATGATAGTAACCAAACAGTTGTACAGATTTTTTACGGCGCAACAGTTAAAATGTTAAGCAATTAACTTTAACTATTAATACAATCATGAACTCAATAACTCAATACACTTTAGAGATAATCTGACTGACTTGGATGAAACCTATACATAAGAGTGTTCTCATGTTTACTTTGCACAGACCAACCTGTTAATAAGCTTATAAAAGAATTACAGTCGATGATTCAATAATTTGAAATAATTTGAAGAGTTTTCCCATTATTTTACTGCAAAGAAATAATAACAGGTTTAATCATGGCAACCAACCTATATTTTTTGGTATGGCATGTACTCAGCTAGCAAATATCTGTCCCTGAATATTTGCCATATAAAACCCAATAAAGCTCTCCCTGAAATGTACAGGATATAGAGTCTCTCCATTCTCTGAACCACCACAGTACTTTGTATCTCTCATACACTGGTTATTATTACCTTCTGTATTATGGTTGTTTGGACATAGTCTTCTCTCCAAAAAGGACTTCAGGAACAGGCTTGAGTTCCAAAGTGCAGTCTACCCCTTAATAGTTCTATCATCTTGGAGACGTTTTTCAGATTCTCAGAACTTTAGCTTCCTCATCTGTAAAATGGAGGTGATGACATAATATCTATCACACAGCATCGTCACTGGAAATGAATGAGATACAGAGCTCAGAGGCTAGGCAAGAGTCTGACATGTACCTGGATCACTAGCATAGCTCCTGTCCCTCCTTCCCCTCATTATAGACTAGAGAATATATTTCTTGTATTCTAGAAGTGAATGTATTTTCTAGAAGAGAATATATTTTCTTGTATTCTAGAAGTGAAAGGACAAAGTATAAAAATTTTATTCTATCTTCAACTTCCAAAATTTTTCTTTGCTTCAAGATAAAAGGAGAACTATTTTATATGAAAATATTCACATGTAGATTTGAGAACACATATAAATTTTTTCTTATGACTTTTCCCAAATTATATTTTATGTAATCACTTAACAATTATTTTTAAAGGGCAGCTATGTGCCAAATGTTATTCTAAATGCTGAGAATATACAAAGAGGAGCAACCATGGAAATTCCATGCCTTCATAATCTTTACCTTTTAGTTAGAGAAGAAACAATTTAAAACTATCTAAGATAATAGCAGTTTTTCATTAATGCTATGTAAATCAGAATGAGGAGAAAGGAATATAGAATGATCGGGAGAAAAGATTATTATACACAGCATGACCAAGGAAGACTCCCCCCATAGAAGGTGATATTTGAGTGGAGATATAATTGATGGGAAGGAGAAAGCCATGTGAAAGTCTGAGGAAGAAAATTCCAAGCAGAGGAAAGAGCAAGTGTGAAGTCCCTAAGGCAGCTACATCTTCATTAGGCACTGAATGCACCTTATAACTTCTTCTTATGAAAATAAGGTAGCAACTTAGGTCAAATTGGCATCTGTAAACAAACTCTTACATTCTGATGACCATTACCCAAAAGCAAGTACTAAAAAATTTAAACTTTGAAAAACGTCACGTTATTTAGATACAACTTTCCAAAATCAAATTTCATATTAACTTAGATCTTCATAATATGGCTTTCTGAGAAAATGGAGACTCAAAAGTATAGTTTTAGTGCACACAAAAAAGTATGTACTCTTGGCTATTATCTCTACCTATTTGTTATCTTTGCTAAATAATAAACCACCCCCAAACTTAGCAATTTAAAACAATCATTTTATTTTGCTCATGATTTTGTGGATCAGAAATTCTGAAGGGTTTGGTTGGTCAGTTCTCACCTGGAGGTCACTCATGTGGTTGCAATCAGATGTAGATAGGGCTGCAGCCATCAAGTCTCACCTTGGCCGTGCATCTAAAATGGCTCACTGCCACCACTGGCACTCAATGCTGGTTGTCAACTGGAAACACCATCAACCAGAATACTTATCCATGGCCTCTTGAGCATTGCCTAGGCCTCCTCATAACATGGAGGCCTAAGGATAAATGGAGTTCGTACATGGTAGCTCACAGCTCCAAACACAAGTATTCCACTGGTGAAGGTTAAAGCTGCCTTGGAATTCACACAATGCTGCTTCTGCAGCATTGCATTGGTAATAAGCAAGTCTGTAAGGTCAGCATAGATTCACAAGGAAGAAATAAAGTAGCCACTTTGTGACAGGAAGGTTGTAAAAGATATGTAGACACATTTTAAAACTGCGACACTACCCTCTGTGTGATAGCAGTACATAGATTATTTGAGAGACAATATGGAAATTCTAGATCTTTATTATGAGCTCTTTTAATAGAGTATCACTTAAGTCAATGTAGAGCTCAAAGCACCTCAAATACCTTGTAGTGGATGTGGCAGTTTGCATTATTCAAAAATTGCCATAACAATATCTCTACTCTCACATGCTCTTTCAGAATCTTCCCTACATGCTCTTTCAGCCACTTCCCTTCCAAGAGATAAAATCTCTGTCTCCTAGCCTTGAAATCAGACAGAACTTTGTGATGGTCTTGACAAACAAAATGCAACAGAAGTGGCCTTGCATGACTCCCAAGACTGGTTCCTAAAAGGGGATATGGCTTCCACCTGAGCATCTCTCTTGGGAATGCTCATTTTGAAAAACAGTCACCATGTAGTGAGGAAGCCCAAAGTATATGCAGAGGCATGTCAAAATGTTCCAGCCAATGCCCCAGCTAAGGTCTCAGCTGACAGGCAGCATTAGTTGCAAGCCTTCAAGTGACTTCAGCCCCCAGGCTTTATGTCACCCCCAGATGATGCTGAGTGTAGCAGAGACAAGCTATCTCCTGCCAAGCCTTTCTCCAATAAGACTCATGAGCAAATTACTGTTCTTGTTGTTTTAAGTCATTATGTTTTGGAGTGGTTTGTTTTATAGCAAAAGATAACCAGAATAAGTGGCTGTTGTCTAACTTGCTAGGCAGTGTTGCATTTGAAATGAAAAAAGAGATATCTAATTTGCAAATTAATCATTGTCCTCAAGAATAAGGCAGAAAATGCATTTCAGGTATTTCTTGGAATCTATCAAAATAAAGGCAGATCAGAATGAATATCAATCCATAGATCCCCAGGAGCATATCAACTGTCAAAGAGATCAAGTGTGGTGAATTCAGTAGTTTTAAAGTTCTGTGGCATCAACAACAGCATCTTCGAGCAGATTAATCAGAAACATTATGCTATCCACATGGTTAACTTAAGAGAGATGTCTTTTCTTTGAGGAAGTGTGTGTACAAGATGCAGTTACAGATAACTAATCTATTCATTCACTCAATAAACATTTATCAAGTTTTTATTATGTTCCTGGCACTGTTGTGGGTGCTGCAAATACAGCAGTGATCAAGTCAAACTTTTATCACTTTATGGAGTTTATATTCTTGGAAATGAGTAGAGACAAAGAAACAATGTACAAATACATAAGTAAAATATACAAAATATCAGCTGGTGATAAACAAAAGAAATACCCGAGGAAGAAGATAGTCAGCAAGGGGAAGGACGGAAGAAGATAACAATCACATATAGTGTGGGTATGGAAAGCCTCATTGAGATGATGAGAGTTAAACAAAACTCTGAAGGCAATGAAAGAACCAGCAAACAAGTTATCTGGGGAAAAGACGTTCCCCAGAACAGAAAGCACAGAGGCTCTGAAGCAGCAGCACAAGGGTGTATTCTAATAAAAGCAAGAAGGCCAGGTTGTTGCTGCTTAAGCAAAGGAGACAATCCTGGAGATAATGGAAGTAGAGAAGGAATCAGACTATGGAGGCTTCTAAGCAAAGACGGCAATTTAGAATTTTACTTTGCATGAGAAGTGAATCTTTTGGAGAGGTTTGAGCAAAAGGATGACATAATATAACAGATTTAAAAGGATTATTTTGACTGCCAGAGTGAGAATACAGTATTCCGTATATTACAAAATATACAGCATTAACTAATTAATATTACAGTATTAATTAACAGACATCATCCTTATTTTAAGTAGCACTAAAAGTAGAATAACCAGGCAAATGAAAATAGTGGCTTGGACAGAAATAGTAACGATAGAGTAGTAAGAAATGATTGAATCAGGATATATTTTGACGTTAGAAAACCAATAGGATTTCCTGATGGATTGGATAGGATATGGCATATGAGAGAAAGAAAAAAGTCAAAGATGACTCAAGGTTTTTTAGGCTGAGCTACTAGAAGAATGAAGGTACCATTTATTTAGATGGTGAGTACAATGGGGGAAGATACTTTGCTGGGTAGATCAAGAATACTGCTGACATGTTAAGTTTGAGATATCTACTAGACATCCAACTAAACAATGATCATTACAGTCTAGGATTTAGTAGAAACATTATCAATGATAAACTTGAGAGTTTTTCAGTGTCTAGATGGTCCATAAGATTGGAAAATTTCATCAAGGAGTCGTATTTTTTATGGCGACTAACATAAACTCTCATAAAGGGCAGTCTGATGATAGTTCTGACCCATGATTTCATAGATTACGTATATTGGAAAAAATATTTCTTATCCCCATGAAGGATTAAGAGATAATAAAACCAACTTAAGAGTATTGAATTATTCCTTGAATTGGTAATTCCGCAGCATAGCATTTTGCTAAATGACATCTGTTTCTCTCTGTCTGAATATATTCACAACTTACTGATGTGGAAACATTAAATTGTTACTTCAGTTCAGTTATTTGAAGAAAATCTTGCTTGAGTATATGGTTTGTTTCTCTGCCTAACTTCCTAATAAAGTGTTTCTCTTGATAAGTGCTTTTATCTACCACAAACGACATGCCCAGACAGAAAGAAAGCAGAAATTGCAGATTATTGAAGTAAGCCAATGGCTTTGCTCATTTGGATCTGCTTAAATACAGCACATTACAGTCAAAATTACCACAGTTTGGCCTGATGCTTAGATCACTTTCAACTTGCACACACAAACACAAGTGTTGTTAGTCACAATTTCTTTTCTATATTCAACAGTGAATTAAACCAGATTACCCAATATAAATAATCTGAGTTACCAACCTACTAAAAATACAAACTTAAAAGTCCCTTTACAATAGAACTTCAGTTTAGAAGTTCTGCATCAGCCAATGTTTACAAAGAGACTGTCAAAGAAGTTTAAGAGATGGAAATGCCAAAAAGATCAGCCTCTTGACTGATTTCCATGCAGTGAATAAAGTGCAAACTGAAGGGTGGTATTTTAAAACTAGCAGCTAAGACATAATTTTTTAAAGAATTCTTGTTGTTAGTATATTTCCCACTATTTTTTTTCATCATGTTCAGAAAGTTTTTCAGCATATGTGTTGCTAGATCTCAGGACTAGGGGGCAGGGGAGAAGTGCACATGGACAAATCAAGGTCATCATTAACATTTAACACTCTGAGAGAAAGATTGAGATTCACCTATTCACCCTTCTCTCTCCATTTAGCCCTGGTAGAGCTCAAGAGGGCAATGAATTAAATTTATTCCAGACGGCCTGGGGTTTTAGCTACTGCGAGTGACAGACTAGTGTTGGAAGAAGCTATGAAAGAGTATGCCAATCTGAGGTTACACCCCATCAACACAAGGAAAATGAATGAAAGTTAAACACGTAAATTTCAAGCCAGCAAGTTCATGGCAGTGTGACTAAAAAGTTGAAGGTTAAAATATTAATTTGTATACACTTATCTGAAAGTTTCAAACTTATGAACTCACGTAAAAACTTGACATTTTGCTGTACCAAATTTATAAGGAATGCTTTGGTGAAAGCCAGTATGCATCTATGTTTCTTTTGTCATGCATAAAACACAAAGCTGTGGTACAATTCTGTTTAATTAGGGCATGGCTTTGTACAAAGGATGCCACAGCATTATAATAAAAGCCACCAGATGTCACTGTTACAGATTATGTTCAAGTATATGCTAATCTGAAAATATGTGAGGTTTTCATCAGTCAGTTTAAAGCAATTTGGGGTTATAATTTTGCCAGCATGGAAATAGTGTGATTGGGCTTTATTAATTTGTAGAAATTATTTCCCCCAAGGGTCTTAGCTTCTCTATAATTATTTTGATTACTTTTACAGTGGCTCTAAATTTAATTAGGGAATAGGAAACATTTTCTCAACAGGAAGGTTTATTACACATAAGTGAGTTGCTATCAGTTTTGTTTTGAAAGGCTTTATATACAAATAGGACAATTTCTTACTCCTTTAGAAAGGTGTAAAGGTGGATTGGTGCAAAGGTGCACAAATAATTCTCCAGTCCTGTGATTTTCTTTTTTTTTTCTTTTTTTTTTTTTTTTTTGAGACGGAGTCTCGCTGTGTCGCCCAGGCTGGAGTGCAGTGGCGCGATCTCCACTCACTGCAAGCTCCACCTTCCGGGTCCATGCCATTCTCCTGCCTCAGCCTCCCGAGTAGCTGGGACTACAGGCGCCCGCCACCACGCCCAGTCCTGTGATTTTCTTATTTCAACAGGATCAAGTATGTGGTAGAGGGGGCTGAGCTTAGCGATCTTTCTGCCTTTGCCTCTATTTTGAAACCTAGCTCTTCCTTGCAACATGAAGTGGGAAAGATGACTGGTTTGGCACGTAGGTGAGTGTATGTTCCACATCCCACAAAACTCGTTGTTACACAGGAGATCTGAGATGAATTAATAAAATTTGAGCAAAATTTTTTCTTCTTTTTTTTTTGAGATGGAGTGTCACTCTGTAGCCCAGGCTGGAGTGCAGTGGCACGATCTCGGCTCACTGCAACCTCCACCTCCCAGGTCCCTGTTCAAGCAATTCTCCTGCTTCAGCCTCCCGAGTAGCTGAGATTGCAAGCACGCTCCACCATGCCCAGCTAAATTTTTGTATTTTTAGTAGAGACCGGGTTTCACCATGTTGACCAGGCTGGTCTTGAACTCCTGACCTCGTGATCCGCCCGCCTCAGCCTCCCAAGGTGCTGGGATTACAGGCGTGAGCCACAACGCCCCGCCTAAAATTTGAGCAAAATTTTAACTATTCTATGTATCTTATATATAAGCTATGTGTTTCTTTATGTAGTAGCCTCATGCAGACCACATTTCTATTTGGTCTAAGTGAAACAAAAGATTTAATGATGAGAACTTCTGTCTAGGAAGCAGATTAATGAGAGAGATTTTGGAGCATGCTAGGGTTTGGGACATCTGGCAATTTACACCCTTCAGGGGAGAATTTACACCATCTACAAATAGAGCCTTATCTAATGATGTGACTGTGTTGTGATACATGCTGAACCCAGGTTGACTGAAATAAAGATCTTGCAGGACCTCAAATGCAGTACTATTTTTAGGAGCTGATTTTTTTAAAAGAAAAGACCATACAGGTAGATGGTAAGGGATTTCATGACTTTATAGGTACAATTTTAATCCTACTGAATTTATGTTGGTATATTGCCATAGATCAGCAAAATTTATAAAGAAAAGGAAAGAAAAACTGCAGGAAAGTTTTGAGAGGTGAAAACATCCCTATCTGACATAGAAACAAGTAGTGACAGCCACAAAACCTGTCTGGTGTATTTACGCCATTGTGGAATGTTGTTAACATATGGAGAGCTTGGCCCTTTTGCTGTCAGCCCAGGGCAAGGGATGAACCATCCAAGTAAAATCAAGTTTCTTCTTCAATAGATACAAAATATTTTCCCAATGAGATGCCTAATAGTCTAGGCAAAAAGCTGTTGGATGACTAGGCTGACATTGTTAAATATAATTTTTTATAAGTTTTAACAGTAGTAAAAAAAACAGGGGTAGGTTGACATATGATTATCTTAGAACTGTTAACATGTGGGATGTCAGTAAAAATCTCCCATGCTAGCCTTTTCTATTTAAAGATAAGGAAGGCAGTCAAGAGTGGAAAGAATCAATCACCCGAGCTTCTCATTTTTTGCTTTTCTGCAAAGACTTTCAGTTCCAAGCCTGTTATGCTTAAACTTCCCAAACAATGTTTAAAAAATTCAGTACTCAGGAACTGGACTAGCTTCAAAATATGGGCCTATTTGGAAACGTTTAATGCTTATATCTACTTCCTGGGGCCTCAAGTCTTTTCACACTGGGAGGGAGAGGAAGGAAGAGTAGTTCTGTTCAACCTGATGAAGAAAAAAAATCTCCAATCTCTACTTGCGTTTGCCATTGTCTTTTTTGTTGTTGCTTCTGTTTTGTGCAGGGGCTAATCTCAACAATAGTAATTGAGACAAATTAGGAAGGTTTGTCAGAACAGAGCACCTTACATGCTTAGAAATTAAGCTAAAAGTCTTCCCAGATTAACATGTGCTTTGCTCTTACAAGATAAGGCTACATGCCGAGAGAGAAAAGAGAGTGAAGTAACTTTATCACTTTATAGCCAACTTCTTTCCATTTTTGTATGGCCAAGAAACAGTGTGGAGATAGGGCTCCAAATTCTAGTTGATAGCTTGTTTGATACAAAGCGCGAAGTCAAATGAGTGCCTAATCATGAAATCATTCTTATTTTATCTTCGTAGTTCCTCTTAGCTGTCTTTGCTGTCTTTCCATTATTCTCTAGGTCATAATATGAGCCCTGATTACCTCAAAGACCATCAGCAGAGCCCTATTCTCCACCTCCACATCTGCTTATATCTTTTAAACTCATATCTACCTGTGAGTTTTACATATATATAAACAAAGAATTTTTTTTTGCAAAGAAAACCTTAAATATTTCATCCAAGGATGACAATGAATATTGATGTTATTTTGCTGTACATATTTTCATGTATATAACATTGATGTGAATTCTCTTAATTAGTGGAGTTAGGTTTTTCCACATATTACATTTGTAATGGCATTTAAGCAAGTGTAAGATTTAGAAAATTTTATTTATCACATAATTGACAATTATCATCCTTTACTTATTTTCATGTAAGCTCATGATTACATCACAACTGTCCTGAAATATCTTACAGTAAAAGTATCCCTTGCCTAAGTTCTTCATTGTAAATATCTAGTTTCTTTTCAACACACTCTGTTGTCCATTTTGTGAACCAGTTTTTGCTCATAAGTCATGTAAGCTGCTGTGGGAAACTGCTTTTCTTGCCCCATTGTCTGTTTCTAACCTCTCAATTTCACTTTGAGGAATGACTTAAACTATAGCGGTGCTAGAAATTCTAAATAGAAGGGACTATTCCATAGCAATCTGGTTGGGAGTTTGTTGCTATCTATGCCGTTGTCTAACGAATTATCTAATGAGTTATCTCATTAGATAATGAGATATTTAAAAAGAAGCCTTCTTTTTTAAACCTTCTTATTAAAAAAGAAGCCTGTGCCTGCACTTTCCAAGATGCAGCCTGCTTGCAAATTTACCAGATGAATAAAAGGACATCCAGCAAGAAAGGAAAGTCAAAACGAATATACTGAAAATCACTAGTGCTCAAGTTCCAAACTGTTGCAATAAATTTAAGGCAACTGCTAACTACCTAAGAAAAAAAAAAATCCAGGATTTACAATGAAGGAGAAGAAGCTAGATCTAAATCCTGATTTTTGACCTTTGAGATTTACCTTTTCCTTGGGAATTCCTAACTAATTTAACCTGCTCCCATGATGATACCCACTAGCAGAGGTAGGAGGCCACGAGTTCTCATCTACCCTTTAATTCCTGATCCAAGGCTGGAGCGTTCAAATATGAAATTACTCAAGGCTAGAAAAATCTTTAATGTGAGATTAAATGACATAATGCAAAGTGATCTTCAAAATCTAAATTATCTAAATCCAGTTTCAAGGTTTCGTGAGCTCCTCTGTCTAATACACTAGCCATTAGCCACAAATGACTATTAAGCACTTGAGATATGCCTAGTCCAAATTGAAATGTGCTGAAAGTATAAAATGCACACTGGATTTCAAAGACTTAGTACAAAAAAGAATGTAAGATCTCATTAAAATTTTTATACTGAATACATATTGAAATGATAACATTTTAGACATATTCAGTTAAATACAATACAAAATGAAAATTATGTTTTCTGTTTTTTAGTCCATTTTAAAGTGGTTACCAGAAAAATTTAAATTACATACATGATTTTTACTATATTTCTATTGGAAAGTGCTCTAAAGCAATGCTTCAGTAATGTTCTTGCCTTTTCCTCAGCCTGTCCCCCTCACAGAAACTTTTAGAAATGTATTGGCTTAGGTTGAAGATTCTGGACTTTAGCAGACCTGAATTTACATTCCAATTCTCCACTTAATAGCTGAGTGACTTTGGACATATTACTTAAACTTTATGCCTCAATTTCCCCAGCTATACAATAGAGATAATAATATATTGCCCACCTACATCATATGGTTACTGTGAAGATTAAATTAAAACTTTAAATTTCTTATTTTCTTCAAACATAAGAATTACTCAGTTATAATTATGTTCTTCCTAATGTACATTCCTGCTATCCAGGGACTCTTCTTAATGTTCCTAGATTCATCATGTCTAGACTTAAGAGAGTAAAACCTCAAGAACACTCAATATTATTCCCTTCCCTGTGTAAATAAAGCATGTCTTATTTTTACTGGATGGCTGATATAGTTTGGATCTGTGTCCCTACCCAAATCTCAAATCGAATTGTAATCTCCATTTTAGAGGTGGAGCCTTAGGGAGAAGACTGGATCATGGACGCCGATTTCCCCCTTTGCACTGTATCACAATAGTGAGTGAATTCTCATGAAATCTGGTTGTTTAAAAGTGCTATAGCTTCTCCCTCACCCCTCTTCCTCCTGCTTCAGCCATGTGAAGTGCTCATTCCCACTTTGCCTTCCACTGTGATTGAAAGTTCCCTGAGGCCACCCCAGAAGCCGAGCAGAAGCTGCTACGCTTCTCATACAGCCTGCAGAAACACAAGCCAGTTAAACCTCTTTTCTTTATAAATTACCTGGTCTCAGATATTTATTTACAGCAGTGGGAACAGACTAATACAATGGCTGATACACAGGATAACAACTTTTCAAAATAGGTCAAGCGTAATCATCTGGATGTAGCCTACTTATAAGACATAGCTAGGTGAACAATGTTCAAATTAGAAATATACATGTAAATATAGGACAGTTGGTTTATTACATAAATTTAACAACATAAATCATATAATATTGAAGAAATCTGACATAAAATGTCATCAACTAATGTGACTAAATATTTCACTGAATAAACTGCCTTGCTTTGTTTTTTAATGGAATTGTCTAATATAATCCAGTATTCAAAATTAGAATCAGCAGAAACAATGTTTATAATATAAAATATTACTTTACTCATATAAACAAAACTATGGTGGCTCTGCATTTGGAACACTGCTTGGAATTTGTTTGCCAAACCTAAAGCATACATAATAAAATGAGGGATTATTAAGCTCATAGCAAATAAAATAATCAATAAGAACGAAATGTTTCTGAATAATTACAAAAAGAGAAAAGCCCAAGCATGGGGAAAAGGAAAACTCAACATAGTTATCACCTCTAAGGGTGATAATTAAGGATTGAAGGCACAGGTTCGATTATGACTAAGGACATCATCTTATTTACTAAAGTCTTTAATTCTAAAACTAGTAGGCAATTCTAGAAATTTGAAAGAGACAACTTAATGTGTATTAAATACTCTGGGTACTTAACTTGATACATCATCCCAAGAAATAATATAGAAAATGGTTTAATATGTAGGGGTTTAAACTAACTGATGGATGCTGAAGCTAAAACAGTATATTTTTAAAAGAAAGTAGAGATGCTCTAGAAATTATATCACGAGGGCTGCTATACCCTTCATCTTAAACATGCTTTTGTGCCATTATTAGCGTTACAAAGAGTAATCCTGTCTTGGGAAACAGGCAGAAAGTTCTTAGTTGACTATATAGAAGAGACAGAAGGCAGGTATTTAGAACTTAAATTAAACTTTACAGACACGATCACTTGGCTGCAGATATGAAGAAAAAATGTCGTTCAGCAACAGACTGGGGTCAGCACAGGCTGTGGCAAAGGCCACCAGGTGGGGGGTCTTAGGTGGCGCAACACACTTTTCCCTGTAGGCAGGTTGAGCCCAGCAGCACTACATCCAGGAGAAGGCTACTTAGAATCCAAGTCAGAGAGCCAGAGGTGATTGGAGAGGAGCATCGTAACAACAAGCCTGTGGTCAGACACAGGATTCCAGTTTCTTAGTGGTATGGAAGACAAAAGACTATTAAGAATTAGGAAAAGCCTCAGTCTTAAGTGGATTGCAGCTATAGGCTAGTGGTTCTCAGCTGGGAGTGATTTTGCCCCATCCCCAACCCTCTCCCCTCAGAGACATTAGGAAATGTATGAAGATATTTTTATTGTCACAGTTGTGGGTGGTGAGTGCTTCTAGCATCCAGTGGGTAAAGGCCAGGGATGCAAAATATCCTACAACACACTTGGCAACCCCTTCACAACAAATGGTTATCTGGCCCAAAATCACAATAGGACTGATACTCTAAGTAGATTTCCAAGATGAAACTTGAACAGGCCAGGCGTGGTGGCTCACGCCTGTAATCCCAGCACTTTGGGAGGCCGAGGTGGGTGGATCACCAGAGGTCAGGAGTTTGAGACCAGCCTGGACAACATGGTGAAACCCCATCTCTACTGAAAATACAAAAATTAGCCAGGCATGGTGGCTTGTGCCTGTAATCCCAGCTACTTGGAAGGCTAAGGCAGGAGAATCACTTGAACCCAGGAAGCAGAGGTTGCAGTGAACTGAGATGGCGCCACTGCACTCCACAGCCTAGGAGACAGGGCAAGACCTGTCTCAAAAAAAAAAAAAAAAAAAAAAAACTTGAACAGAGAATAGCACTGAAGTCCAAAATAGATTATAAGGTGGGAACCAGGTGTCAGCATGAAGTAAACTCAAAAGAGATCAGGCCCAGCCTCGCAACAGGTATGAGTTGACACTACATTCCCATGTATTGGGCCAGAACTGCTATGAGGCATTGTGTTATAGGTGAAGAAAACAAATCTACATTCAACTCTAGGTCTCCCAACTACTAGCTCTGTGGCCCAAAACAAGTTATATAACCTTGACTTTCTTGTCAGTAAAATCCACATAGTAATACCAGATCATACGGATACTGTAAAGATCACCAAGGTAATGTATCTAAAATGCCTGCCAGGGTACTTAGAACATCATAATACTGGAACAGCAACAAAGTTGCTGCACCTAACACATAACATACGAATTATCTATGCCCTTGGCAAATCAACAAAATTTGCTACGTCTAAATCTAATGAACATTTAAAAATACTCAACCAACTTGCCCTCTCAGTAACACTGGATGCTATCTACCACTTTGCTTTTGAAACTCTGCTGCTGGCTTCCATAATACTAAACTTTTAAGAGTTTTCTTTCTAGTTCTCTGACTGTTCTTAAAAGTCTTAGGTGACTCTGTATTTATACATGGTTTATACGTTGTTGTAGTTCAGGGCCTTTTCTTCTCCCCACTCTGCATACTCTTCCTAAGCAATCTCCGGTACTCATTCTCATTGCTACATTTACCACTGATACCTCTAGTCCAAGTATTTCTTGTATGTTCCAGAAGCACTTCAAGCTCACTATTTCCCAACCAACAACATAAATTCAACTTCTCTACTGTGTTCCCTGGTTTTCTCTTCCCATATTTCTTGCCACACTGTATTGTAACTGCTGTTCTCTTATCTGTTTTCCCAACTCGATGCAAGTAAGTTCTCTGGGGGCAGGAGTAGTGCCTATCTTGTTGACACATAACCCTACTGCCCAGCACATAAATGCATGAATATAAAGTTAAAATCAACTTCCTTCTCAGTGACTCCATTCCTATCTAATTGTGGGGCACATGGAGCCCAGACAACTGTCTAGGAAGTAGAGCTACATCTATAGAAAAATTTCTGCCTTTCAGATTAATAATTCTTTTTTTTTTTTTTTTGAGACAGTTTCGCTCTTGTTGCCCAGGCTAGAGTGCAATGGCACGATCTCAGCTCACCACAACCTCTGCCTCCTGGGTTCAAGCGATTCTCCTGCCTCAGCCTACCAATATCTGGGATTACAGGCATGTGCCACCACGTCCACCTAATTTTGTATTTTTAGTAGAGACAGGGTTTCTCCAATTTGGTCAGGCTGGTCTCAAACTCCCAACCTCAGGTGATCTGCCCGCCTCGGCCTCCCAAAGTGCTGGGATTACAGACATGAGCCACCGCGTCCGGCCCATAATTCTAAACACTATAGAGAGTTGGAAAGATGTTTCTTCAAACTCACCCTGATTAAAAAGAAAAATACATGTTTTCAAGTGTTTGGATCTACAATAACACCCTTATTCAGCCTGGTTGTCTTAAATGCTTGGCCCAGTACTGGGCATGTAGTAAGCACTCAACTGTTGACATTTGTTTAAATAAATGACTTAAAATTTGAAAATATTCAACTTTTTTTCATAAAAATTTAGAGATGTTTCTTATTTTTCTATATTCACAAAGCTACAATGTATAGAAGACATGTTTTCTCATCAATTTTATGTGGCATTACCAAAGCTCTCAGGTACTTTCGTAGCATATTTACTTGAAACATTATAGGGATGTCAATAATATATGTAAATTTAAGCCATTTAATTTTAAATTTATTGCATTCAATTTGTAGAAAAAGATTTCTATGCATTATCAAATTTTTTTAATCTTGAGGTCAGTAAATATAACTGTACACCATAAATTTGCCAACAATGAACAAGTATTGATCTACATATACACAGAGGAGATTTCTGAGCCTTTGTCATATTGGCAAAATGTGTATCCTTCTATAAAGGAAATGTTATAATAAAGTAGTAATATGTACATAAGAGTTACTTCCACATTTAAAACAGCAGTTTGAACCTTTATAAAAGTTTTTTAAAAAAAATCATAAGTCATTTGCATAGCATTTTATTTTACAAAACATTCTCACATTTATTGCATCATGTTAGACATTTAATACAGACATAATTCCTTGTAACCAAAATTGAACAATTATATTATTGAAAACACATTTTCTTTTTGTTTTTAAGGAGAAGTCTAGGAGTTGGGTGAAGCTAAATGAGATGTGTTGTGAAATAACACAAATATTTCAAAGAAATATGTAACTAAAACTGATAAGATTAAAATCATTTTCCATCATGCTGTTTCATATGCCATATGTTAAAGAGTTCCCTTTATGGAAACACTTAGGTCTGAGAGAAGTATTTATCTTGTTACAACCCTCTGAACATTTTTATTTAACAAACAAATAAAAAGATACCTGATGCTTGAATTAAAGGTCAATGAAACAGTAAAGACCCATGGGTCAAGCACAAAGAAGCCACAGTGAAGTTGAACATCTCTGGTCTCAGAGTTTAACTCGCTGTACCTAACCATAGTTAGCATACGCTTTCTACACAGTTGGTAGCAATCAGATACATATTTAATGTGGTTTCATTATATCTTATAAATGCTGGCATAGAATAATCTCCCCAGGGTATTCAGTGAATAATAGAAAAGAGAAAATGATGAGCACATTTAGCACATGCACCCACAACCTCATGATAAAAGGCAGCATTCCCCCCATACAGCACCTGTTGTCATAGCTGGTTTAATTACTTTTCATTGTAGTCAGCTGCCTGAAATATTTATCATGGAGCCTATAATTTTCCAAATCCAAGACTGACAACTACTCGAGTGACTATAGGAACTGAAATTTTACTAACCCTTCTTACTTCTGTGCTTTATTTGCAACATCAAAGGTGCTAAACAAAATATCTTTCAGGGAAGCTTCATTTGGTTAAGTGAATTGGTGCATTAAAAGATTAAAAGACGTTCACACTACATTGAAAAGGCAATGTGTCACATCAAATTATGGCTGAAATAGGGATAGAAATAATTTAATGATGAAATATTAAAGCACTCAATGTGCTAAAATAAAAGATACAAATAAATTCAAAGGTTTTTATACAGAGGTGCCAATAAAGAACACTTTCAGTCAACATTCTAGAACTTACTCTCCCAACCAGTTTAATACAAATTACATATTTGTATTAAATACGTAATATTGGGTGAGTTTGAAGAACCATTCTTTCCAACTCTCTATAGCTGATTTTTACACCTCTTTCTGCAGTGAATTATTATTATAAATCTTATGCTTTGGCTATCTTCTTCTTCTTGATATTTTAAATTTATTTGTTTACTTATGTATTTATTTACAGTATTTTAATTGACAAATAACTAGGCTATGTTCTTTTGGTAGTGAAATATATTGTGTTTTAGGATAAAATTTTGCTATTTCTGTGAATGGAGGTCCAAATGAATTTTTAACATCTTATTTAATAAAAATGTATTTAAATATTTGCACATTACATATTATTATATTGTGCTGTCAAAATGCCACACAAACATTAACTTATTTAATCTTTACAATAATCCTATAAAATGACAATTATTATTTTCTCTGTTTTACAATTGAAGAAATTGAGGTAGAGATTGAGTAATTTCCTCATAGTTAATAACACTAGTTAGTGGCAGACCTGGGATTCACACTCAGGTAATTTAACTCCAGAATCTGTTTTCTTAACCTCTATTCAGTACACTAAAGCCAATTAATTTTATAGAAAGGTTCTTATTAATAGAAAAATAGTTTCATATATACCTCATTGACTCCATTTGCAGGTAGATCTGTTCAAATTATTAAGATAGATTATTGCAATTTAGAGTCAAAATATATTTTATATTGCAACCCAGTAGATACTTATATCCACAAACCGACGCTCACAAACATAGTCAACACAAAAATTCACAAAATAAGACTACCCTTACTGCATTGTCTATATTCAAGTATATTCTATTATATTGTATTTCATTTTTTAAATGCTGCTTATGACCAAGATATTTGCTTTCACAATGTACTAACACAGTGGTTCTCATACCTGGCTAGCCATTGAAATCAAATAGGAAGATTTTAAAACTAAGGAATCTTTGAGCTCCACTGCTAATACTTAAATTAGAATCTCTGGAGAATAACATTTTAAAAGCTGTCCAGGTGATACCAATAAGCCTTATAGCTAAGAATCGCTACACTCTTGAGTCAATATGCTTAATGCGTAAGACACATTGGAGTAGATGAAACTGACAAGATGCATTTTCATCATCAGTTAAATACGGGACTTCTGAGTGACAGGACTATTGGATTATTTTACATTAGCATATCAGTTTTCTATGTTTTAAATGACTATGGAATTCTTGAAGATGCCTTAAAATATTTTTTTCATTGGTAGCCTAATAGTCCTTTTTTAATATTGTTCATAATGGTGATTTGCTTAGCATAACCTTTCTTCATTAACATCTTAAAGATATTTAAACCCAGGACCACCTGACTATTACCAATTAGTGGATCCTGAATCAACAAATTCATATTTATTTTCTACTTTATTTTTATTTCCAACACTTATTTTAAGTTCAGGAGTACACGTGCCAGATGTACAGATTTGTCATATAGGTAAGTATATGCCATGGTGGTTTGCTGCACAGATCATCCCATCACCTAGGTATTAAGCCCAGCATCCATTAGCTATTCTTCCTGATTCTCTCCCTCCTCCCAACCCCCACACTCTGACAGGCCCATGTACGTTGTTCCCTACATCCCATGTGTCCATGTGTTCCCATCAGTCAGCTCCCACTTCTAAGTGAGAACATGCAGTATTTGGTTTTCTGTTCCTGTGTTAGTGTGTGAGGATAATGGCCTCCAGCTCCATCCATGTCCCTGCAAACAGACATGATCTTGTTCCTTTTTATGGCCGCACAGTATTCCACGGTGTATCTATATCACATTTTCTTCAACCAGTCTATCACTGATGGGCATTTAGGTTGATTCCATGTCTTTGCTATTGTGAATAGTGCTGTAGTGAACATACACATGCATGTATCTTTATAATAGAATGATTTATATTCCTTTGGGTATATTCCCAGCAACGGGATTGCTGCGTCAAATGGTATTTCTGCCTCTAGGTCTTTAAGGGATGGCCACACTATCTTCCACAATGGTTGAACAATTTACACTCCCACCAACAGTATAAAAGCATCCCTTTTTCTCCCCAAACTCACCAGCATCTGTTGTTTTCTGACTTTTTAATAATAGCCATCCTGATTGATGTGAGATGGTATCTCATTGTGGTTTTGATTTGCATTTCTGTAATGATCAGTGATGTTGAGGTTTTTTTCATATGTTTGTTGGGTGCATGTTTGTCTTCTTTTGAGAAGGGTCTGTTCATGTCTTTTGCCCACTTTTTAATGGGGTTGGTTTTTTTCTTATAAATATGTTTAAGTTTCTTGTAGACTCCGGATATTTGACTTTTGTCAGGTGAATAGATTGCAAAAATTTTCTCCCATTCTGTAGGTTGTCTGTTCACACTGTTGATAGTTTCTTTTGCTGTGCAGAAGCTCTTTAGTTTAATTAGATCCCATTTGTCAATTTTTGCTTTTGTTGCAATTGCTTTTGGAATCTTTGTCATGAAATATTTCCCCATGTTTATGTCCTGAATGGTATTGCCTAGGTTTTCTTCTAAGGTTTGTATAGCTTTGGGTTTTACATTTAAGTTTTTAATCCATCTTGAGTTGATTTTTGTACATGGTGTAAGGAAGGGATCCAGTTTTAATTTTCTGCACATGGCTAGCCAGTTCTCCCAGCACCATTTGTTAAATGGGGAATCATTTCCCCATTGTTTGTTTTTGTCAGATTTGCTGAAAATCAGATAGTTGTAGGTGTGTGGACTTATTCCAGGTTCTCTATTATGTTCCATTGGTCTATGTGTCTGTTCTTTTACTAGTACCATTTTGTTTTGGATACTGTAGACTTGTAAAATAGTTTAAAGTCAGATAACATGATGCCCCTAGCTTTGTTCTTTTTGCTTAGGATTGCCTTGGCTATTCAGGCTCTTTTTCATTCCATATGAACTTTAAAATAGTTTTTTTCTAATTCTGTAAGGATTGTCAATGGTAGTTTAATGAGAATAGCATTGAATCTATAAATTGCTTTGGGCAGTATGGCCATCTTAATGATAGTGATTCTTCCCATCCATGAACATGGAGTGTTTTTTCATTTGTTTGTGTCATCTCTGATTTCTTTGAGCAGTGGTTTGTAGTTCTCCTTGAAGAGGTCTTTCACTTCCCTTGTTCGTTGTATTTCTTCATATTTTATTCTTTTTGTGGCAATTGTGAATGGGAATTCATTCATAATTTGGCTCTTTGCTTGCCTGTTGTTGATGTATAGGAATGCAAGTGATTTTTGCACACTGATTTTGTATCCTAAGACTTTGCTGAAGTTACTTATCAGTGTAAGAAGTTTTTGGGTTTTCTAGATATAGAATCATGTCATTTGTCAAGATAGCTTGACCTCCTCTCTTCCTATTTGAATACGCTTTATTTCTTTCACTTGCCTGATTGCCTTGGCTAGAACTTCTAATGCTATGTTAAATAGGATTGGTGAAAGAAGACCTAGTTAATTCTATACCTGTATTTTCCTCCTTTTATTTTCATTCTTTCTCCTCCAAATATTGTGATTGTCTACAAGAAAAAAAGTTAACATAGTCATAATATGGTTTGGATTTTTGTCCCCACCCAAATCTCATGTCAAATGGTAATCCCCAATATTGGAGGAGGGACCTGCTGGGAGGTGATTGGATCATGGAGCCAGATTTCCCCCTTGCTGTTCTCATGATAGTGAGTGAATTCTCATTAGATCTGGTTGTTTAAAAGTGTTTAGCACCTCCCTCTTTCCTCTATTCCTCCTGCTCTGGACATGTAAGATGTGCCTGCTTCCACTTCCGCCATGATTAAACATTTCCTAAGTCTTCTCCAGCCATGCTTTCTGTACAGCCTGTGGAACGATGAGCCAATTAAACTTCTTTTCTTTATAAATTAGCCAGTTTCAGGTATTTCTTTATGGTAGTGCAAGAACAGACTAATACACTCATGCATTCCTAATGACAGGGATACATTCTGAGAAATGTGTTGGGTGATTATGTCATTGTACAAACATCATAGACTATACTTATGCAAACCTAGATGGTATAGCCTATTACACATCTATACTGTATGGTTGATCCTATTACTCCTAGGCCACAAACCTGCACAGCATGTTGCTGTACTGAATCTGTAGGCAACTGTAATACAATCAAAAGATACAGTAAAAATATGGTATTATAGTCTTACAGGAATGCCATTGTATATTCAGTCCATCACTGACTGAAACATAATTGTGCAGTACATGGCTGCAGTACAAGTGAATTTAACATTTGGAGTTTGAGCAACTAACTGCCTTTTTGAAAGAGTAAAGCAGCTGTTGAATTTGATGTATGAAAACTGGTTCTGACAAGATAGGACCAGGGTCCACTGCTGACCATTGAAAGGCAATGTGACTTAAATGAGGGTCATCTCCTATAGCATGCTTAAAATGAAGAAAACAACTAACTAGATGCATGTAGAAGCTTGTGGAAATGAAACAGATCAAAACGAAGTGTGAGTCAGGTGTTTGTCTTGGCAGATACAGGTCCCAGATGTGTTAATATAATATAATTTTATTTATTTTTAAATTTCCTATCATTGATTCTTTTTCATTGTTGTGATTTTACGGTTTTCAACCTAAACTGGCAATACTTTAATTTCTATGGTGAAAAACAGTGACATCTTTCAGAAGGGTATATAATTTATATATATTTATATAATTTTTATATATGATTTATATAATTTATATATATTTTATATATTTATATAATTTATTTATATAATTTATATATATTTATATAATTTATTTATATAATTTATATATATTTATATAATTTATTTATATAATTTATATATTTATATAATTTATATATATAATTTATATATATTTATATAATTTATATATATATAATTTATATATATAATTTATATATATATAATTTATATATATAATTTATATATGTATATATAATTTATATATATAATTTATATATATATAATTTATATATATAATTTATATATGTTTATATAATTTATATATATAATTTATATATATTTATATATATTATTTCTATATAATTTTTATATATTACATATATTATTTATATATAATTTATATATATTTATATAAAAATTATATATATTTATATATTATTTATATATAATTTATATATTTATATATTATTTATATATATAATTTATATATATTTATATATTTATATATATTATTTATATATTTATATATTATTTATATATATTATTTATATATATTTATATATTATTTATATATCTTATTTATATATATTTATATATTATTTATATATAATTTATATATATTTATATATTATTTATATATAATTTTTATATATTTATATATAATTTATATATATTTTTAGATATAATTTATATATGTATTTATATATAATTTATATATTTATATATAATTTATATATAATTATATATATTTATATATAAATATATATAATTATATATATAATTTATATATATTTTTATATAAATTATATATATAATTTATATACTTTATATATAATTATATACAATTATATATAATAATATATAAATATATATAACTACCATTATTTATATATAATATATATTTTATATATATTGCTACCCGTATATAATTGACACTACAAAGAACACATACATATCCCCCAGATATGACTGTGTTTTTTGTAGTGTCAGTTATATTGCTCTGAACAGGAAAGTGAGAACCAACTTTTTTCCTGAATAACAAGTTTGAACCACCTCTCAAACTTGAATATATTTGGAGAAAGGAAAAGAAAAAAGAAAGCCCAGATGAGCTAGGGTGTTTGGTTTTTTATGCTTGCCAGGTTTGTGAAATACAGTGAAGTTCAATAAAGTCAATAGAGTTTATATTAAAGTAGCAAGAAGCTACATGTTGCTCCTTTGTTTACATCACACATTTACACTATCCCACAATTCTACTCCCTAATCACAGAGCAGCTCCAAGGAAAATCAGGGAAGTGTGAGACCTCTAGGTGTTCTTTATCCCCTCTAGAACAGCTGTGAACACTTGGCAAGAAACCAAGAAATCTGGGCTTTCTCCCTACCAGGTCCCTGTTTTCATGTGTGACTATGAGCACCCCAATCACTGTCCTTCAGACGCTCTATCCATGCCTATGTTTGGGGGATTTTCATTGCTGAAGCAAATTTCTGCCTTTACCTCACTTTTGATGATCCACTTGCAAACCTAGAACATCTGGTATGTGATGCTCCATTCTGAAAAACAAGAATAGGAGCACACTGGAGAACAAACTGTAAAAATGAGGTTGGCCTTACTGTTTTGACAGATGATATAATAAACATAATATATAAGTAGGAGGGTAATACATCTTTTTGGTAGCATTTTATATCAGAAATACTGTAACTGCAAATTGACAATTAGGTTTATTCTGTTTCCCCCACCTGGTAGTGGTTTCAGTTATTTTATTTTGGTGTGGTTTGGGATTTAACTAGAAATTAAATGACATTAAAGAAGGCAACTTGAAATATCATAATCTAAGACAGAGTTCCTCCACACTTGACATTTTGGACTGTATAATTCTTTGTGGTAGGATGTTTAGCAGCATTTTTGTACTTTACCTGCTAGATACTGGTAGTATCCTCAAGAGTCATGACAATCAAAAAATGTCTCCAGACATTTCCCTATGTCCCCTGAGGATAAAAATCACACCAGTTGAAAACCACTGATCTAAGGCATAGAGAAAGCATGTAGTGTTAAAGAATAAGTATAATCACTTTCTTTTCATGTTGCTACTGAAAATCATTTAGGAAAGTAACTCAGCATGTGCAGTATACAGTTCCTCTTATTTTGTATATACAGTATCACCATTAAAAATGAAGTTGAACCATTCTCTCTCTCTGTCAATATGAGCTGCTTGAATTGCATTCCTCTTCTCCTGAAAGAGAGGAGGCATTTTTTATTTCACTTTGCACAGGTTGCAGCTGAGCAGCCTAAGTTGGAGCACAGAATATGACTGTCATTGTTGATGAGAGTAAAGATGAGTTTGGCAAATTCAGAATAAAATAGAATAGTCTTGATATAGTTCGGCTATATACCCACCCAAATCTCATCTTGAATTGTAGCTCCCATAAACTCCATGTGTTGCGGGAGGGACACGGTGGGAGGTAATTGAATCATGAGGCGGTTTTTTTTCATCCTGTTCTCATGACAGTGAATAAGTCCCACAAGACCTGATGGTTTTATAAAGGCCTGCATATGCTCTCTTGCCTGCCGCCATGTTAACATGTGCCTTTACTCCTCCTTCGCCTTCCACCATGATTGAGAGGCCTCCCCAGCCATGTGGAACTGTGAATCCATTAAACTTCTTTTTCTTTATAAATTACTCAGTCTTAGATATTTCTTGATAGCAGTATGAAAATGGACTAATAAAAGTCTGGATGATTAAAAATCATTAATATTATTATGCCATTTAACCAGGTCTTACAAATTTAGAGTCAGTTGTGAATAGTCTGAGAAGAGGTAGGTATCAACAAAAATACACTGTGGCTTAATTTTCATGTAATTATTATTTTGGGTTTCTGTAAAGGTGGGAGTTTCACACTGGCTTTGCTCTAAATGAAGTATTGCGTTACTAGGGTTACTCTAGCTAATTTAACAAATAATTTCCTAAATCTACAATAACTAAAACATAATAAAATTTACATTTTGTGCAGATAAAATCTGAAGTGAATATTCCTAATTGATGAGTGATCTTCATGTGTTATTTTAGTTCCTCCCACCATGTAGCTCTGCCATATTTAATATACGCTTCTAAGGTCACCATGGTGTTTTGTATCAAGTGAACAGAAGAAAGAACATGGAAAATCTCACGGCTCACTTTTTATGGGCCAGCCTTATAAAATGAAGGAATGGTGCTTGAAGACTTAGCTAAGTTTCCAGTTTAAGGAACATACCTTGTGGGATTTGGGCTCTGTCCTCCAGGATGCCCGTATGCACTGAACCAGTGGCTGATAAATGGTGTTGTGTCCCCAAGAGTTAGAATACACAAATGTGGATACCAAGATATAGAATTAGGAGCGGTCTCTCCTGCCATGGCTACCAATAATCTGATTGCAGAATTTGATCTTTCTATCCCTGACCCTTGGCTCTGTCCCATTTAGAGGTCGTGGTTCCCACGAGGGGAATTCTTCCACAACAGGACATAGTAAGATCTTACTTTCTGTGGACACTTTGGGCTCCTCAGGCCAGTAAACCAACAGGCCAAGGCTGGAGTAACATACCTTGATTCTCATGAGGAACCAAGAGGATTTACCATGTTACCTGTTGAGATTTTTATGCTCAAAGACTGCTGCAAGTGGGCAATAGCAGACCCCTCCTGCCAGAAAATCAGCAAGTAGAGACTGGAGTAACGAATCTTGATTGCCAGGAGGAATCCTGTGAAGGTTCTGTGGGATCTCTTGATATTCCCATGACCACATAACAATAAGTGGGCAATAGCAGAATCCTTGGTCCTCAAGGAAAGGTAAGCTAAAAGCTCACACCACTTGAGAATGGAGAGCTTGGTTATTCCACTGCAAGCAATCCAGCTGCTGAAGTGCTGTCTGAGAAAGAGAGCAATCTAGAATGGGTGGTGGAAGAAGATACTAGATAATAATTTTAATTCTGGGACAAACTGCAAGAGATGAACTGGAGGTTGGTTTGCTATTATTCTGAAACTGGCCATCAACTTAAAGAATTAGACTTATATTTTTCCTCTCAGGAGAGATGGACTACACCAGTTCAGTTTAATAACTACCCCAGATTCACATATTTGCCTCGTTTACTTGTCAGAATGGCCATAGCGGTGGCTTGTGTGTCACGGAGCCCATTTGCTGCTATTGCTATTGCCACTGCTTCAGATTAAGATACAGGGCCCCTAACCAAGAGAAACAACCATTGCTGTGTGACCAGGCCTGAGGAGCCTCTAGCTTCCCTAGAGAGTGCTGAGGCAGAGTGATGTAACCAGAAGGACAGGGCAGTTAATGTCCCATGGGGAGTACTTGCCTAGTGGGAAATAGGGGATAGGAATGAGTTCTTCCTCTCTTTGGACTGAGTGTTCAGACTTACAATAGTTTTATGCAGCCTCCCAGATGGCATTCAGTGGGATAAAGCAACCACTGGGTTTATTAAGAAGTTGTAGCAACCAGGCATGGTAGCTCATGCCTATAATCTCAGCACTTTGAGAGGCCAAGGTGGGAGGATCACTTGAGCCCAGGAGTTTGAGACTAGCCTGGGCAACACAGCAAGACCCCATCTTTAAAAAGAAAATTAAATAAGAATTTCTTTAAAAATAAGTTGTAGCATGCAGTTTCCTTTTCTTTTTTCCTCTTTTTCTTTCCTTTTCTCTTTTCTGGCTTTTTACCCCTGTCCTTTTATTTCCTATTTCTTCCACTCCTCTTTCCTTTCATTTTTCTTTTCTTTTCTCTTCCTTTTCTTTCTCTTCATTTCCTGAACAATTCAATCCAAAATCCAAGAACTGTGGCTGAGCAAAATATGCACCCACCTTAGGGGAGGTAGGGACAGAGGTTGAGGAGAAGGAAGGGATCTGTGGTGGCCTCAACGGAGTGCTGGAGCCAAACGAAGTGGGGGGGGGCATCCATGAGGGGGCGAGGGGGCGGGGGAAAGCAGCAACAACATGAGATTGGTTACACTCAGGGAGACTGATCAAATAAATATATAAAAGATAATAGGAGCAGATTTCTCACTGTTAGAGGTGGGAGTTACAAAAAGAGAAAGAGAGAAAACTAGATTGAACCCTGTGGTGTTAGATTGAAATGGGAAATATAGGGCTGAAATCATGGTCCTGAAGCTATATAGATAGAAAGAAGTACAGATTTGAACTTGTGGGTATATGTGTATGTACGTGTGTGTGTGTGTGTGTGTGTGTGTGTGTGTGTGTGTGTGTGTGCGCGCGCGCGCGCGCTCTAGCTCTGGGCACTGAGAGAGTCTAAGAGCTACAACTCCACAAAAGCAATGCACATACTTAGTAGTGCCCAGATACTGGTTTTTAAATATTACTCTCCACTAAAAGGAGCCAGGTCTCTTTGGAAGAATGGCTGATTCCAAGGCTGGTGCAGAGAA
The DNA here is from genome assembly GCF_000001405.40 of Homo sapiens. Classification (NCBI taxonomy): domain Eukaryota; kingdom Metazoa; phylum Chordata; class Mammalia; order Primates; family Hominidae; genus Homo; species Homo sapiens. The sequence continues at coordinate 93,917,978 of NC_000004.12, forward strand.
AATACAAAATGAACCTAGAACATCTTGTTTGCTAAAATTGGTGACATGTTACCAAGACTCGCAAGCCAGCTTGAAGGCACATAACACTGGCCAAGTCTGGCACAATTTTATCGGCAAAATAATTAAAGTAATGAATTATAACCCATTGAATAAAACAAATTTGTGAGCCCCAAATGATATAGTACATACATGAAAAAATTTAAAATTTCATAGTAACAGATTATTTACATTATCTCAAAGTAACCACAAAATATTTTAGAAATTACATAGTGTAAAAGTGTAACTTTACGATGTAGAAGCCTGATAAGCACCACCTTAACTGATCAAACGTAACCTCACCCATTATGGAACAAACCAAAATTGTTCGCCACTTGATAAGATGCAATGGGAAGAACACAGTACTGCTTCTGTGATATTTCTGTCAAAGATGCATAACCTGAATGTAGTAATGATGAAACATCAGACACAGATTAAGGAATATTCTATGAAATAACTGGTCTGTAATCTTCAAAAGTGTCATAGCCATGAAAATCAAGGAAAGACTGAGACTTCAGACTGACAGAATAAAAGGACATGACAACTAAAAGCAATATGAAGCCAGTTGCGATAGCACATGCCTGTAGTTCCCAGCTACTTGGAGGCTGAGGCAGGAGGATTGCTTGAGCCCAGGAGTTCAAGACCAGTCTGGACAACATACTGAGACTCCCATATCCAAAAAAAAAAAAAAAAGGCAATATGACATAATGGAATGGATCTTTCTGCTACAAAGGATATTATTGGTACAACTGGAAAAATTGAATAGAGTCTCAAGATTAGATGGCAGTAATGTATCTGTAATGAATTTTCTTGATTTTGATGGTTATATTATGGTTATGTAGCAGACTGTCCTTGTTTGTTGGAAATGTACATGAAAGCATTCAAGAGTAATGGAGCATTATATTGTAAATTTACTCTTAGAAAATTCAGGAAAAAAAAATCCTTGTTCTGAGCTTGCAGTTTTTCTTTAAGTTTGAAACCGATTAAGAATTAAGAAGCAAAAGAGCAGAAGCACCAGAAGGAGCAGCTGTGCCAGAATGATAAAAACTCCCTTTGCATTTACTTCCCCTTCCTCTCCAGTTCACTCCTGTTCCCTTTTCCTGCTTTGTTCAGGCTGTTTATGTTTTTTAAAAAAAACTCTATTTTAAGTTCAGGGCTACACATGCAGGTTTGCTATATAGGTAAATTGCATGTTGCGGGAGTTTGGTGTACTGATTATTTGGTCACCCAGATAATAAGCAGAGTACCTAATAGGTAGATTTTTGATCCTGCTATCCTTCACCCTCAAGTAGGCACTGGTGTCTATTGTACTCTTCTTTGTGTCCATATGTATCCAAAGCTTAACTCCCCACTTAAAGTGAGGACATACAGTATTTGGTTTTCTGTTCCCATGTTTGTTTGCTTAAGATAATGACCTCCAGCTCCATCCATGTTGCTGCAAAAGACATGGTCTCATTCTTTTTTATGGCTGCACAGTATTCCATTGTGAATACGTACCATATTTTTTTAATCCAGTCTACTGTTGATGGACATTTAGGTTGATTCCATTTCTTTGTTATTGTGAATTGTGCTGCAATGAACATATGTTTGCATGTGTCTTTTTGGTAGAATTGTTTCTATTTCTTTGAATATATACCCAAGAATAAGGTTGCTGTGTCAAATGGTATTTCTGTTTTAAGTTCTCTGAGAAATCACCAAACTGCTTTCCACAATGGCTTAACTAGTTTACATTCCCACCAGCAGTGTATAAGCATTCTCCTTTCTCTACAACCTTGCCAGCATCTGTTATTTTTTTACTTTTTAATAATAGTCAGGTTCTGTTTTCTAAGGAATATTTTCCAAGTTACTGAGCAACTTATAGAATCTACATTGACTACCAGACTCACGAAATGTGAACAAATATAATAGGATGTCCAATTAGAAGTCTCTATACTTACATATTTGTACGAAAATAGAAATTGAAAAGCAATATCTCATCCCTGGGGAATTGCAGGCAGCAGTGTCACCATACAGAAAAATTGAAAAATGTAGGAATGGTGATTCTTCTCACTTTCTCCATTTAACTCTCCTGCTTCACCTGTGAAGAAGACAAGGGTTGTAGAGAACGACAATGAATTATTACTAATCATATTCCCCTCCCCCATTTTAGCTGCTATTCCAAATGTAAGCTCTTTAATTGAGCACATAAACACATCTTTTGGCACCTGGTAGGCAACTAATAATTCACTATTAATCAGAAAATACTACCTTTTTTCATTATCCGGTGAGCAGAGAAAACCAGAAGCAATTTGCTTTCACCTGACATCAGTGGTAGTACATTTTAATCATCTTATTCCTGACTTTATGAATTCTCAAGATTCTTGTAAAAAAGAGAACTTGATCATCTGATCATACCATTGAACATTACTGAAGCGCCATATAATGATGCCCATTGAACATTACTGAAGCGCCATATAATGATGCCATATTGACATGCCATGGCATTGAAAATGCCAGGTAGGTCAAAGGAGCTTGCAACCTCTACCTTGGTCTACAGGAAGCCAGCCATTGTCCAACTACCCTAAAACTGCCCTGCTGTGAGAAAGCGCAAGCTAACTAAAGGAAAGTCTGTGTGAAGGGTGGCATGACCATCTACCTCCTCATATTCCATCAATGCCAACCTAGACACAAAACATGTAAAGAGTGGGAAATGGTTGCCTGGCAAGGACCCCTAGGATTGGTGGAAAAGTATAGTACAAGAGCTGATGTACTGACATGGAACAAGTTCCAACTTTTTTGTTGTTCTTGTTTAAAACAAGGGTGAGAAAACTTTCTGTAAGATGTCAGAGAGTAAATACTTAAGTTTTCTGGTTCCTGATGTAATGATCTCATGGCAACTACTGGACTCTGACACAGCCGCATAAAAGCCAGCCCTAGGAAACACATAAATGACTGAGCATGAATATGTTTAAAGAAAAACCTTTTTATTTACAGACACTAAAATTTAAGTTTCAAATAATCTTCATGTGTTAGGAAAGATTACTTTTACTTCTATCTTTTTAAAGACAAAATTATAAAAATTATTCTGTACTCATGGGCCATACAAAAGTAGGCAGCAGGCCAGAGTTGGTCATGGGCTGGGGCTTAACAACTCCTAGTTTAGGGTAACCCCAAGAGCTGAAATGAATAAATTATAGAATTTGAGTGGCTTACCTCAATGAATCTATTTTTCATTCCTACAACAATCCATGTGTGTAGTCTTAATCAACAGATGGTTTTCTACCACACAATGATTCAGAGACTCAGATCCTTCCAGTTTGTAATTCCACCATGCCCTAGGGTAGAAGTTCTTTACATCCCATTAGCCAATGAGTACAAAGAAAAGGTGAATCTGCTTCTTAAAAATTCAAGCCTAGAAGTTACCCTGATCAATTCTGCTCACATTCCCTCCTGAGAAGTGCTCACGGTGTAAATTGAAGAGGGGGATATCCTTGGCTGGATAACAACTTACCATGTGAAAGAAGGAGAAAAAATTTTGGTGGGCAGCTAGCTGTCTCTGCCCCAGTGCACCTCTCTGACCACTCCCATATGAAAAAGGGAAGGATATGTGCCATACAGCAGTCATTGGTCCATAGAAATTATAAAATCCTACTGGGCAAGCACTCTGATGTCTCATTTCCATAGACATGGAAGTTCCTTGATTCTGATCTGATTCTGTTCTCAAGTGTGACTTTCTTTCTTGTCTTTACCCCTATTGCTATACATAAAGTGACACTGGGGTGAATGCCCTCCATAAGAACTACACAGCTTTTGCAGTGCTTATTCTGCTCATGAAACTTTAGGAATCCATGGTTGTTTTACAGAAACAGGATTTTTTTAGGCCAGACTTAACTTTTCTTTGGTAATAAAATTCCCTCAAACACTTTGATCTATGTGCTTCCAGCCAGTTTCATGTGCCAGTAACCATCACCTATGTTCAAGCCTACTTTATTTTCTTGCTCTTTAATCCTCATACCTCTCCTCACTCTCAACTTGGTGATGGTTACTTTGAGGCCTTTGATATAATAGGCTTGAGTGGAAAAGCAATAACCTCAATCTAATCTTTGTTTCAAGTCTGATTTTCTTTGTTTAACTAAGCATTCTTATAGACATTCTATGGTTATAAAATATACATAACATGACATAAAATTTACCATTCAAATCATTTTTAAATGTGTAGTTCAGTGACATTAAATACATTCACATTAGGACTCAAGGATTTTGTTTTCCTCAAAACCCTTTCAGGTTTATCTCTTAATTTAGTATTCAGAACAGTTGAGTGTTCCAAACTATGTGTCCCTAAATCACTAGACAATCTCTATTTGCTTCTATCTTTACTTGAAATAAAGTCAATTCTTGCCTGAGCTCATCATTTCTGCCTGCCATATACAAATTAAGTGAAGAAAAATAAAGAGAAACAATACACACATTATTATAGCAGAGATATTTACTGCATACCAAATATCTATACATTTCACCATATTTCTCAGTCATTTAGCACGTGCATGGCTAGTTTTAACCAATGAGCTGTGAGTAGAATTAATATTTGCCAATTCTGAGCCAAAACATTTCAGAATCAGTGCATGACTATCTCCTTCCCCTACATCAGAAACCTGGAATACATATGTTCCAAGTGACATAGCTACAATATGCAGGTGCAGATAGCAACATCATTGCTTGGAAGAATGGCTATGCACCGTGAAGAATGTACTTTTATATGTGAAGCCACAGAATTTTGGTGGTGGTTTATTACCGCAGAATAAGATTGTCAAACTTGACTAATATAAATATCCCATTGAACAAAAAAAAGTGCTCAAAGCAAATAAAATATTTCTTGATTTACATAGGAAATTCAGCAAAAGAGACTTGTAAGAAAACACACCAATGATAGTTGTACTTTACTCACAAGAGGTAAAGTAGCACAGAAGGACTTCTGCCTTTTCTATATCATTTGAATGTGCTTTGACAATGTTAATATGTTTATTATAATGTTCATAATATACTGTTATAAAGGTAATACCTTTATAATTTATTTAAAACATTTATATATTTATTTAAAGAACAATGTTAAGGAAATATTACTAAAAGTAACCTGTAAACATGTGGAATATAGGAAATCCTGATTCATATCGCTGAAGATTTTTCCAGAAAGTTTGTGGCAACTCACATTTCCCTAATTGTTGTATGAGAGTGTATACTACCCCATATTGCCAATGTTGATTATTCTTTACTTTTGATAATTTATAAACAAATAAAAAAGTATCTGTTTTAATTTGTATACCTTTGGTTATTGGTGAAATCAAACACTTTTTCATATATTTAGTAGCATTTTAATTTATTATTTTGTAAGCTATTTTGATGTCTTTGCTTATTTACTTTTTTTTCATTTATTTTTTTATTTTACTTTAAGTTCTGGGGTACAAGTACAGAATGTGCAGTTTTGTTACATAGGTATACAAATGCCACAGTGGTTTGCCCCAACAATTAACCCGTCATCTGCATTAGGTATTTCTTCAAATGCCATCCCTCTCCTAGCCCCCCACCCCGCAAAAGGCCCTGGTGTGTGATGTTCCCCTCCTTGTGTCCATGTGTTCTCATTGTTCAACTCCCACTTAGGATTGAGAACATGCCGTGTTTGGTTTTCTGTTCTTGTGATAGTTGGCTGAGAATGATGGTTTCCAGCTTCACCCATGTCCTTGTCAAGGACATGAACTCATCCTTTTTTATGGCTGCATAGTATTCCATGATGTATCCTTTTTTATGGCTGCATAGTATTCCATGATGTATATGTGCCACATTTTATTAATCCAGTCTATCATTGATGGACATTTGGGTTGGTTCCAAGTCTTTGCTAGCCATATGCAAAAGACTGAAACCAGACCCCTTCCTTACACCTTATACAAAAATCAACTCAAGATAGATTAAATAATTAAATGTAAGACCTAACCCCATAAAAATCCTAGAAGATAACCTGGGCAATACCATTCAGGACATAGGCATGGGCAAAGACTTCATGTCTAAAACACCAAAAGCAATGGCAACAAAAGCCAAAATTGACAAATGGGATCAATTAAACTAAAGAGCTTCTTCACGCAAAAGAAACTATCATCAGAGTGAACTGGCAACCTAAAGAATGGGAGAAAATGTTTGCAATCTATTCATCTGACAAAGGGCTAATATCCAGAATCTACAAAGAACTTAAACACATTTACAAGAAAAAAACAAACAACTCCATCCAAAAGTGGGTGAAGGATATGAACAGACACCTCTCAAAAGAAGACATTTATGCAGCCAATAAACATGAAAAAATGCTCATCATCACTGGTCATTAGAGAAATGCAAATCAAAACCACAATGAAATACTATTTTATGCCTGTTAGAAGGGTGATCATTAAAAAGTCAGGAAACAACAGATGCTGGAGAGGATGTGGAGAAATAGGAATGCTTTTACACTGTTGGTGGGAGTGTAAATTAGTTCAAACATTGTGGAAGACAGTCTGGCGATTCCTCAAGGCTCTAGAACCAGAAATATCATTTGACCCAGCAATCCCTTTACTGGGTATATGCCCAAAGGATTATAAATCATTCTGCTTATTTACTTATTAGGTTTCTGGTAACTCTATTACTTTTATTACAAATAATAATTTATATTTTGTTTTTTGCCTTTATTTTTATTTTCAAATTCAAATATCTTAAATTATTATAGTGAAATTTATCATTTTTCTGCCCTCATAAAGTCTTTTCTTCCTTTGAGCTTAGGAAAATCTTGTCTATCCAGGGAATAGATGAGTATATTTATTCTAGTTTTTATGAGATATTTTGGACATATTTTTGCATTTAACATTTGATTGGCCTGAAATTTGTTGAGAGTATAACAGGAAAATTTAATATGGAACTTTCCAAATCACTAGCCAATCATTTCAGCTTCATTTATCGCCTTTCCTTCCCCCACTGGCTCACAGTTCTTCTACTATGTAAATTGACAGGCAATCTATTTTGTTCCATTGACCTCTCCATTCATTCTTGTGGCAGTATAACACATAGATTACTTCAAATTGATAATATATTATAATGGGGTAAAACTTTCCTCCTACCTCTCTCTCTCTCACATGCACACATATGCCAATTAATCTATTTCCAAAATTTCATAGCTATTATCACCCAATTATTTTATTAGATAAGTTGTTGAATCCCATCATTAAAGTCCAAAAATAAATCTCATTAAAATTTTATTTGGAATTCATTTCCTTCTTAAATATTGGGTGAGGGTTTCTTTTATTCTTTTTCTAACTCCTCTGCCTTTGGGAAGGAGAAGAAAGAGTGGGAAGAACTGCATCCTGTGGTTTGAGTTCCAACTTGGTCATAGAACACGAAATAGACTTCTAAGGCTTTTGACTTTAGTCCCTGGCTTTTGGATAGCACCTCTGGGGGATCTTACCACATTGAAGGGAAGGACAGAAACCTGGCTGACTTAGCCACCTGCTGATTGTAGAGCCCCAGGGCATTAGGCAAGCATAGTCAGTAGCCAGGGTGTAGTTACAGCAGGCCTTTGGTGAGACCCAGTATTATGCTGGCTTCAGGTCTGACCCAGAACAGTTATAGAGGTGGTGGCCACAGGGGTTCTCACTCTACCCCCAGCTTCAGGTGGCTCAGAACAGAGAGAGAAAGACTCTGGGAGAAAGCAAGGGAAAAGAATAAGAGTCTCTGCCTGGTAATCCAGAAAATTCTCCTGGAACCTGTTGGAGACCATCAAGGTGGTACTTCTATGAGTCTGCAGGACCCACAGCATTACTGGGCTTAGGGTATCCTCTAAAGTAAATAGAGCTTAGATCACACCACTCAAGTCCTTTTGGATATCTGGAAAGCTTTCCCAAGAAGGACAGGTACAAACAAGCCCAGACTGAGAAGATTACATTAAATACCTAACTCTTCAATACCCAGACCAGATGAACATCTGTATGAAGACAGTCCAGGAAAACAACCTCACCAAATGAACTAAATAAGGCACCAGAGACCAATCCTGAAGAAACAGAGATATGTGACCTTTCAGACAGAGTATTCAAAACAGCTGTGTTAAGGAAACTCAAAGAAATTCAAGAGAACACAGAGAAGAAATTCAGAATTCTATCAGATAAATTTAACAAAGATATTGAAATAATTAAAAGGAATCAAGCAGAAATTCTGGAGCTGAAAAATGCAACTGGCATACTGAAGAATTTATCAGACTCTTTATAGCAGAATTGGTAAAGCAGAAAAAAGAATTAGTGAGTTCAAAGACAACCTATTTGAAAATACACAGTCAGAAAAGACAAAATAAAAAAGAATAAAAAGACAATGAAGCATGCCTACAAGACCTAGAAAATAGTCTCAAAAGGACAAATCTAAGAGTTACTGGCCTTAAAGAGGAGGCAGAGAAAGAGATAGGGGTAGAAGTTTTATTCAAAGAGATAATAACAGAGAACTTCACAAACGTAAAGAAAGATATCAATATCCAAGTACAAGAAAGTTATAGAATGCCAGTCAAATTTACCCCAAAAAAGACTACCTCAAGGCATTATAATAATCACACTCGCAAAGATTAAGGATAAAGAAAGTATCCTAAAATCAGCAAAAGAAAAGAAATAAATACCATACAATGGAGCTCCAATACATCTGGCAGCAGACTTTTTAGTGGAAACTTTACAGGCCAAGAGAAAGTGGCATGACATATTTAAAATGCTGAAGGAAAAAATATTTACCATAGAATAGTATATCCAGTGAAAATGTCCTTCAAACAAAAAGGAGAAATAAAGACTTTCCAAGATGAACTAAAGCTGAGGGATTTCACCAACACCAGACCTACCCTACAAGAAATGGTAAAGACAGCACTTCAGTCAGAAAGAAAATGATATTAATAAGCAATAAGTAATCACCTGAAGGTACAAAACTCACTGGTAATAGTACACAGAAAACCACAGAATATTACAACATGGAACTGTGGTGTGTAAACTACTCTTATCCTAAGTAGAAAGACTAAATGATGACCCAATCAAAACCACTAACTACAACAACTTTTTTTAAAAAAATATACTTTAAGTTCTGGGATACATGTGCAGAATGTACAGGTTTGTTACATAGGTGTACATGTGCCATGGTGGTTTGCTGCACCCATCAACCCGTCATCTACACTAAGTATTTCTCCTAATGCTATCCCTCCCCTTGCCCCCATCCACCGACAGACCCCAGTATGTGATGTTCCCCTCCCTGTGCCCATATGTTCTCATTGTTCAACTCCCACTTATGAGTGAGAACACGCAGTGTTTGGTTTTCTGTTCCTGTGTTAGTTTGCTGAGAATTATGGTTTCCAGCTTCACCTATATCCCTGCAAAGGACATGAACTCATTCTTTTTCATGGCTGCATAGTATTCCATGGTGTATATGTACCACATATTCTTTATCCAGTCTAACATTGATGGGCATTTGGGTTGGTTCCAAGTCTTTGCCATTGTGAATAGTGCTGCAATAAACATATGTGTGCATGTGTCTTCAGAGTAGAATGATTTATGATCCTCTGGGTATATACCCAGTAATGGGATTGCTGGGTCAAATGGTATTTCTGGTTCTGTATCCTTGAGGAATCGCCACACTGTCTTCCACAATGGTTGAACAAATTTACACTCCCACCAACAGGGTAAAAGAGTTCCTATTTCTCCACATCCTCTCCAGCATCTGTTGTTTCCTGACTTTCCTGTAAATGTGTTTATGTTCTTTGTAGATTCTGGACATTAGCCCTTTGTCAGATGGATAGATTGCAAAAATTTTCTACCATTCTTTAGGTTTCCTGTTTACTCTGATGATAGTTTTGTTTGTTTGTTTGTTTGTTTGTTTTTGCTATGCAGAAGCTTGTATTTTAATTAGATCCCATTTGTCAATTTTGGCTTTTGTTGCCATTGCTTTTGGTGTTTTAGTCATGAAGTCTTTGCCGATGCCTATGTCCTGAATGGTATTGCCTAGGTTTTCTTCTAGGGTTTTTATGGTGTTAGGTCTTATATTTAAATCTTTAATCCATCTTGAGTTGATTTATATAAGGAGTAAGGAAGGAGTCCAGTTTCAGTTTTCTGCATATGGCTACCCAATTTTCCCAACATCATTTTAAAATAGGGAATCCTTTCCCCATTGCTTGTTTTTGTCAAGTTTGTCAAAGGTCAAATGGTTGTAGATGTGTGGTGTTATTTCTGAGGGCTCTGTTCTGTTCTATTGGTCTATATATCTGTTTTGGTACCAGTACCATGGTGTTTTGGTTACTGTAGCCTTGTAGTGTAGTTTGAAGTCAGGTAGCATGATGCCTCCAGCTTTGTTCTTTTGGCTTAGGACTATCTTGGTGATAAGGGCTCTTTTTTTGGTTTCAAATGAAATTTAAAGTAGTTTTTTCTAATTCTATGAAGAAAGTCAATGGTAGCTTGATGGGAATAGCATTGAATCTATAAATTACTTTGGGCAATATGGCCATTTTCATGATACTGATTCTTCCTATCCACGAGCATGGAATATTTTTCCATTTTTTTGTGTCCTCTCTTATTTTCTTGAGCAGTGGTTTGTAGTTCTCCTTGAAGAGGTCCTTCACATGCCTTGTAAGTTGTATTCCTAGGTATTTTATTCTCTTTGTAGCAATTGTGAATGGGAGTTTGCTCATTATTTGCCTATTATTAGTTTATAGGAATGCCTATGATTTTTGCACAGTGATTTTGTGTCCTGAGATTTTGCTGAAGTTGCTTATCAGCTTAAGGAGATTTTGGGCTGAGACAAGGGGGCTTTCTGAATATACAATCATGTCATCTGCAAACAGAGTCAATTTGATTTCCTGTCTTCCTATTTGAATACATTTTATTGCTTTCTCTTTCCTGATTGCCGTGAACAGAACTTCCAATACTACGTTGAATAACAGTGGTGAGAGAGGGCATTCTTCTCTTGTTCTGGTTTTCAAAGGGAATGCTTCCAGCTTTTACCCATTCAGTATGATATTTGCTGTGGGTTTGTCATAAATAGCTCTTATTATTTTGAGATATGTTCCATCAATACCTAGTTGAGTGAGTGTTTTTAGCATGAAGAGGTGTTGAATTTTATCAAAGGCCTTTTCTGCATCTATTGCAATACTCATGTGGTTTTTGTCATTGGTTCTGTTTATGTGATGGATTACCTTTACTGATTTGCATATGTTGAACCAGCCTTGCATCCCAGGGATAAAGCCAAGTTAATCGTGGTGGATAACTTTTTAATGTGCTGCTGGATTCGGTTTGCCGGTATTTTATTGTGGATTTTCACATTAATGTTCATCAGGGATATTGGTAGAAAATTTCCTTTTTTGTTTTTGTCTCTGCCAGGTTTTGGTATTAGCATGATGCTGGCCTCATAAAATGAGTTAGGGAGGAGTCCTTCTTTTTCTATTGTTTAGAATAGTTTTAGAAGGAATGGTAAGAGCTCCTCTTTGTACCTCTGGTAGAATTTAGCTGTGAATCTGTCTGGTCCTAGGCTTCTTTTGATTGATAGGCTATTAATTACTGCCTCAATTTTAGAGCTTGTTATTGGTCTATTCAGGGATTCGACAACTTCCTGGTTAGTCTTGGGAGGGTGTATGTGTCCACGAATTTATCCATTTCTTCTAGATTTTCTAGTTTATTTGTGTAGAGGTGTTTATAGTATTCTCTGATGGTAGTTTGTATTTCTGTGGGATCAGTGGTGATCTCCTATCATTTTTTATTGTGTCTATTTCATTCTTCTCTTCTTTATTAGTCCAGATAGTGATCTATTTTGTTAATCTTTTCAAAAAACCAACTCCTGGATTCATTGACTTTTTGAAGGGTTTTTTGTGTCTCTATCTCCTTCAGTTCTGCTCTGATCTTAGTTATTTCTTGTCTTCTGCTAGCTTTTGAATTTGTTTGCTCTTGCTTCTCTAGTTCTTTTAATTGTGATGTTAGGGTGTCAATTTTAGATCTTTCCTGCTTTCTCCTCTGGGCATGTAGTGCTATAAATTTCCCTCTAAACACTGCTTTAGCTGTGTCCCAGAGATTCTGGTACATTGTGTCTTTGTTCTCATTGGTTTCAAAGAGCTTATTTATTTCTGCCTTAATTTCACTATTTACCCAGTAGTCATTCAGGAGCAGGTTGTTCAGTTTCCATGTAGTTGTGCAGTTTTGAGTGAGTTTCTTAACCCTGAGTTCTAATTTGATTGCACTGTGGTCTGAGAGGCTGTTTGTTATGATTTTCATTCTTTTGCATTTGCTGAAGAGTGTTTTACTTCCAACTATGTGATCAATTTTAGGATAAATGTGATGTGGTGTTGAGAAGAATGTATATTCTGTTGATCTGGGGTGAAGAGTTCTGGAGATGTCTACTAGGTCCACTTGGTCCAGAGCTGAGTTCAAGTCCTGAATATCCTTGTTAATTTTCTGTCTCATTGATTTACCTAATATTGACAGTGGGGATGTTAAAGTCTCCCACTATTATTGGGTGGGAGTCTAAGTCTCTTTCTAGGTCTCTAAGAACTTGCTTTATGAATCTGGGTGGTCCTGTATTGGGTGCATGTATATTTAGGATAGTTATCTCTTCTTGTTGCATTGATCCCTTTACCATTATGATTACATTTGCTTGGTAAATATTCCTCCATCCCTTTATTTTGAGACTATGTGTGTCTTTGCACATGAGATGCGTCTCCTGAATATAGCACACTGATGGGTCTTGATGCTTTATCCACTTTGCCAGTCTGTGCCTTTTAATTGGGGCATTTCACCCATTTACATTTAAGGTTAATATTGTTATGTGTGAATTTTATCCTGTCATTATGATGCTAGGTGGTTATTTTGCCCATTAGTTGATGCAGTTTCTTCATAGTTTTGATGATTTTTACATTTTGGTTTGTTTTGCAGTGGCTGGTACCAATTTCTCCTTTCCATATTTAGTGCTTCCTTCAGGAGCCCTTGTAAGGCAGGCCTGATGGTGACAAAATCCCTCAGCATGTGCTTGTCTGTAAAGGATTTTATTTCTCCTTCACTCATGGAGCTTAGTTTGGCTGGATATGAAATTCTGGGTTGAAAATTTTTTTCTTTAAGAATGTTGAATATTGGCCCCCAGTCTCTTCTGGCTTGTAGGGTTTCTGCAGAGAGGTCCACTGTTAGTCTAATGGGTTTCCCTTTGTGGGTAACCTGACATTTCTCTCTGGCTGCCCTTAACATTTTTTCCTTCATTTCAACCTTGGTGAATCTGACAATTATGTGTCTTGGGGTTGCTCTTCTCAACAAGTATCTTTGTGGTGTTCTCTGTATTTTCTGAATTTGAATGTTGGCCTGTCTTGCTAGGTTGGGTAAGTATTCCTGGATAATATCCTGAAGTATGCTTTCCTACTTGGTTCCATTCTCCCTGTCACTTTCAGGAACACCAATCAAATGTAGGTTTGGTCTTTTCACATAGTCTCATATTTCTAGGAGGCTTCGTTCATTCCTTTTTAGTTATTTTTTCTCTAATCTTGTCTTCATGCTTTAATTCATTAAGTTGATCTTCAATCTCTGATATCCTTTCTTCCACTCGATCAATTCGGCTGTTGATACTTGTGTATACTTTACGAAGTTCTTGTGCTGTGTTTTTCAGCTCCATCAGGTCATTTATGTTCTTCTCTAAACTAGATATTCTGGTTAGCAATCCCTCTAACCTTTTATCAAGTTTCTTAGCTTCTTTGCATTGGGTTAGAACATTCTCCTTTAGCTCAAAGGAGCTTGTTACTACCCACCTGCTGAAGCCTACTTCTATCAATTAATCAAACTCATTCTCTGCCCAACTTTTTTCCCTTGCTGGTGAGGATTTGTGATCCTTTGGAGAAGAGGCATTCTGGTTTTTGGAATATTCTGCCTTTTTGCGCTGGTATTTCCTGATCTTCTTGGATTTATCTACCTTTGGCTGTTGCTGTTGGTGACCTTTGGATGGAGTTTTTGCATGGTCGTATTTTTATTGATGTTGATGCTATTGCTTAATGTTTGTTACTTTTCCTTCTAACAGGCCCCTCTTCTGCAGGTCTGCTGGAGTTTGCTAGGGGTCCACTACAGACCCTGTTTGCCTGGGTATCACCAGCAGAGGCTGCAGAACAACAAAGATTGCTGCCTGCTCCTTCCTCTGGAAGCTTCATCCCAGAGGGGCACTTGCCAGATGCCAGCCAGAGCTCTCTTGCATGAGGTATCTGTCACCCCAGCTGGGAGTTGTCTCCCAGTCAGGAGGCATGGGGGTCAGGGACCCACTTGAGGAGTCAGTCTGTCCCTTTGCAGAGCTCAAGTGCTGTGCTGGGAGATCCGCTGTCCTATTCAGAGCTGGCAGGCAGGAACAATTAAGTCTGCTGAAGCTGCGCCCACAGGCACCTGCTCCCCCAGGTGCTCTGTCAAAGGGAGATGGGAGTTTTATCTGTAAGCCCCATACTGGGGCTGCTGCCTTACTTTCAGAGATGCCCTGCAAGAGAGGAGGAATCTAGAGAGGCAGTCCAGCTACAGTGTCTTTGCGGTGCTGTTGTGGGCTCCGCCCAGTCTGAGCTTCCTGGTGGCTTTGTTTACACTGTGAGGGGAAAACTGCCTACTCAAGCCCCAGTAATGGTGGATGACCCTCCCCGCACCAAGTGTCCCAGGTCGACTTCAGACTGCTGTGCTGGCAGTGAGAATTTCAAGCCAGTGGATCTTAGCTTGCTGGGCTCTGTAGGGGTGGGATCTGCTGAGCAAGACCACTTGGCTCCCTGGCTTCAGCCCCCTTTCCAGGAGGAGTGAATGGTTCTTTCTTGCTGGCATTCCAGGTGTCACTGGGGTATAAAAAAAACTCCTGCAGCTAGCTCAGTGTCTGCCCAAATGACTGCCCAGTTTTGTGCTTGAAATCCAGGGCCCTTGTGGTGTGACCATGGGAAAAGCATAGTATCTGGGCTGGATAGCACTGTCCCTCATGCCACAGTCTCTCATGACTTCCCTTGGCTAGGGGAGAGAGTTCCCTGACCCCTTGCACATCCCAAGTGAGGTGACATCCCACCCTGATTCTGCTCACCCTTCAATGACTGCACCCACTGTCTAACCAGTCCCAATGAGATGAGCTGGGTACCTCAGTTGGAAATCCAGAATCACCTGCTTTCTGCATTGGTCTCACTGTGATCTGCAGACCGGAGGTGTTTCTATTTGGCCATCTTGCCTGGGAATACAACAACAACTTTTCAAGACACAGAGAGTACAATAAGATATAAATATATAAACATAAACAACACAAAGTTCAAAAAAACGGGGAGGTGAAGTTAAGGCATAGATTGGGGTAATCCATCTTTTGAGTTCCCTGGGCCACATTCGAAGAAATTTGTGTATTGGGTCATACATAAAAATGCATTAACACTAACAATAGCTGATAAGAAAAAAAAAAATCACAAAAAAAACCTCATATCATGTTAAGAAAGTTTACAAATTTGTGTTGGGCCACATTCAAAGCCATCCTGGGCCACATGCAACCTGCAGGCCACAGGTTGGACAAGCTTGGTGTAGAATTTTTATTAGTTTTTTTTTTTTTTTTTTTTGCTCGTTTGCTTATTTATGCAAACAGTGTTAAGTTGTTATCAGCTTAAAATGATGGGTTATAATACAGTATTTTCAAGAATCATGATAATTTCTAACCAAAAAATCATGCAATGGATACACAAAAAATAAAAAGAAAGAAACTAAATCATATCACCAGAGAAAACCATCTTCATTTAAAGAAAGACAGGAAAGAAAAAAAGAAGGAAGAGAAGGTCACAAAAGAACCAGAAAACAAATAGCAAAATAGGAAAAGTAAGTCTTTACTTATTAGTAATCACATTGAATGTAAACAGACTAAATTCTCCAATCAAAAGACATAAGGTGGCTGTATGGATAAAAAACAAGGTCCATTGATTTGTTGCCTACAAGAAACACACTTCACCTATAAAGACACATGTAGACTGAACATAAAGGGATGGGTAAATATAGTCCATGCTGATGGAAACCAAAAAAGAGCAGAAGTCACTATACTTATATTAGAAAAATGAGATTTTGAGACAAAAACTATAAGAAGAGGCAAACATGTTCACTATAATAATGATAAAGGGGTCAATCAGCAAGACAATATAACGATCGTAAATGTATATGCACCCAACACTAGAGCACTCAGATATATAAAGGAAATATTATATAACTAGGAGAAAGAGATAGACTACAATACAATAATAGCTGGAGAGTTCAACACCTGACTTTCAGCATCAGACAGGTCTTCTAGAGAGAAAATCAACAAAGAAACATCAGACTTCATCTGAACTATAGACCAAATGGATCTAATAAATATTTACAGAATATTTTATCCAATGGCTGCAGAATACACATTTTTTTCCTCAGCACATGGGTCATTTCCAAGAATAGACCATATGTTAGGTAACAAAACACATCTTAAAACATTCAAAAAAATTGAAATAATATCAAGGATCATCTCTGACCACAATGGAATAAAACTAGAAATCAATAAAAGGATGAATCTTGGAAACTATACAAATACATGGAAATTGAACAATATGCTCCTGAATGACCAGTGGGTCAATGAAGAAAGTAAGAAGGAAATTGAAAAACTTCTTGAAACAAGTGATAATGGAAACACAACATGCCAAAACCTATGGGATACAGCAAAATCAGTACTAAAAGGGAATTTTACAGCTATAAGTGCCTACATCAAAAAAGAAGAAAAACTTCAAATAAACAATCTAATGATGCATCTTAAAGTACTAGAAAATCAAGAGCAAACCCAACCCCAAATTAGAAGAAAAGAAATAATAAAGATCAGAGCAGAAATAAATAAAATGGAAATAAAGAAAACAATACAAAAGATCAATAAAACAAAAAGTTCGTTTTTGAAAAGTTAAACAAAATTGACAAACCATTATTCAGACCAACTAAGAAAAAAGAGAGAAGATCCAAATAAATAAAATCAGAGATGAAAAAGGAGACATTACAATACATACTACAGAAATTCAAAGTATCTTTAATGGCTACTATGAGCAACTATATACCAATAAATTGGAAAATCTAGAAGAAGTGAATAAATTTCTAAACACATACAATCAAATTCAGTCAGGAAGAAATCCAAAATCTGAGCAGACCCATAACAAGTAACAAGCTCGAAGCCATAATAAAAAGTCTTCCAGTAAAGAAAAGTCAAGGACCTAATGGCTTTGCTGCTGAATTCTACCAAACATTTAAAGAAGAACTAATACAATCCTACTTAAACTATTCTAAAAAATAGAGGAGGATGGAATACTTCCAAACTTATTCTATGAGACCAGTATTACCCTGATACCAAAACCAGGCAAAGCCATATAAAAAAAAAATTAAAGACCAATATTTCTGATGAATGTTGATGCAAAAATCCTCAACAAAATACTAGCAAACCAAATTCAACAACATATTAAAAATATAATTCATCACGACCAAGTGGGATTTATCCCTGGGATGCAAGGATGATTCAACATATGCAAATCATTCAATATGATACATCATATCAACATAATGGAGGATAAAACCATAGGATCATTTCAATTGATGCTGAAAAGTCATTTGATAAAATTCAACATTCTTTATGATAAAAACCCTGAAAAAACAGGATATAGAAGGAATATACCTCAACATAATAAAAGCAATATACAACAGACCCACAGATAGTATTATACTGAATGAAGAAAAACTGAAAGTCTTTCCTCTAAGATCTGGAACACAACAAGGATGTCCACTTTCATCACTGTTATTCAACATAGTGCTGGAGGTTCTAGCTAGAGCAATCAGACAAGAGAAAGAAATAATGGGCATCCAAATTGGAAAGGAAGAAGACAAGTTATTCTTGTTTGCAGATTATATAATCTTTTATTTGCAAAAACCTAAAGACTCTACAAAAAACTATTAGAACTCATACATAAAGTCAGTAAAGTTGCAGGAAACAAAGTCAACATACAAAAATCATTAGCATTTCCATATGCCAACAGTGAACAACATGAACAAGAAATTAAAAAGTAATTCCATTTGCAATAGCCACAAATAGAATTAAATACCTAGGAATTGACTTAACCAAAGAAGTGAAAGATATTTATAATGAAAACTATAAAACACTGTTGAAAAAAATTGAAGAGGAAACCAAAAAATTGCAAGATAGTCTACGTTTCATGGATTGGAAGAATCAATATTTTTTAAATGTTCATGCTACACAGAGCAATTTACAGATTCAAGGCAATCTCTATGAAAATACCAATGACATTCTTCACAGAAATAGAAAAAAACTATCTTAAAATTTATATGGAACCACAAAAGACCCAAAATAGCCAAAGAACTATCTTAAGCAAAAAGAATAAAACTGGAGGAATCACATTACCTGATTTCAAATTATACTACAGAGCTATAGTAAACAAAACTGCACGGTACTAGCAAAAAAATACACATAGACCAATGGAACAGAGTAGAGAACCCAGAAACAAATCCACATAACTACAGTGAATTCATTTTTGACAAAGGCACCACAACATACACTGGGGAAAAGATAGTCTCTTCAATAAATGGTGCTGGTAAAACTGGATATCCATATGTAGACAAATGAAACTAGACCACTATCTCTCACCATATACAAAAATCAAATCAAAATTATTACAGATTTAAATCTAAGACTTCAAACTATGAAACTACTACAAGAAAACGTTGGGGAAACTCTCCAGGACATTGATCTGGGCAAAAAATTCTTGAGTAATACCCCACAAGCACAGGCAACCAAAGCAAAAATGGAAAAATGGGATCACATCAAGTGAAAAAACTACACAGCAAAGGAAACAAATAAGCAAAGTGAATAGACAACCCGCAGAATGGGAGAAAATATTTTCAACCTACCAATCTAAAGAGGAATAAAAAGCCAGAATATATAAGGGGCTCAAACAACTCTATAGGGGAAAAAAATCTAAGAATCTGATTTTTTAAATGGGCAAACTATTTGAATAGACATTTCTCAAAAGAAGACATACAAATGGCAAACAGGCATATGAAAGGTCCTCAACATCATTGACCATCAGAGAAATGCACATCAAAACTACAATGAGACATCATCTCACCCCAGTTAAAATGGCTTATATTCAAAAGACAGGCAATAACCAGTGCTGGAAAGGATGTGGAGAAAAGGGAACCCTGAAACACTATTGGTGGAAATATAAATTAGTACAGCCACTATGGAGAACAGTTTGGAGTTTCCTCAAATAACGAAACATAGAGCTACCATATGATCCAGCAATCTCACTTCTGGATAGACACCCAAAAGAAAGAAAAGTCCTGGGCTCTTTTCCAGTATATCAAAGAGATATCTTCACTCTCATGTTTACTGCAGCACTGTTCACAATAGCCAAGATTTGGAAGTTACCTATGTGTTCATCAATAGATGAACCTATAAAGAAAATGTGGTACTTATACACAGTGGAGTACTATTCAGCCATAAAAAAAGAATGAGATCCTGTCATTTGCAATAACATGATGGAACTGGAGATTATTATGTTAGGTGAAATAAGCCAGACACAGAAGGACAATTATAACATGTTCTCACTTATTTGTGGGATCTAAAAATCAAAACAGTTGAATGCATTAACATCGAGAGCAAAAGGATGGTTACCAGAGGCTGAGAAGGGTAGTAGTGGGGTAGGGGGAGAAGTGGAGATGGTTAATGGATACAAATAAAAATAGAAAGAATGAATAAGACCTACTATTCGATAGCACAACAGGGTAACTATAGTCAATAATAATTTGATTGTACATTTTCAAATAACTAAACGAGTATAATTGGATTGTTTGTAACACAAAGGATAAATGCTTGAAAGGGTGGATACTCCAATTCTCCATGATGTAATTACTGTGTATTTCATGCCTATATCAAAACATCTCAAGTACTCCACGAATATATACACTTACTATGTACCCCCCAAAATTAAACATTTAAATATTTAAAAAATACAAATATAAAATGGAAGATAAGCAGAATTATAAAATGTTAGAACTGGATGGAATTTTAAAGATCATATAACCCATTTACCAAATTTCCACAATGAAGAAATTTAAGCTTTAATAGCTGAATAATTGGCTCCAGGTTTGATTCCAAGTAAAGGAGCTTAGGTAAGTCCTCAATTTCTCTGCATTCTAAGTCCTGTGCTCTTTTCCAAATATACTATTAATAGAACTTCTGATTGTGTGTAGATTATGTATATGTCAATCCAATCAGATTTCTCATTTACCAGATTTTATTTATTTAATAAAACTAGCATAATTATCTGAATATATATAACTCCTCATTGAATAGAATTATAGGTTAATATAATTTTCTATTTATATTAACAAGTATCTACCTGCATAACTATGAAAATTATAGCTTATTCATCAGCCTAAGATCTAAAAAAAAATTATCTCTGGAAGACTGTGAGTTTTTATGTTTCTTAATCTAATTTCAAAATTAAAATCACTCAATGAATTTTGCAACTGGAATTAAAATTCACCATACAATTATTTAATTGAAATCATGTCATAAAATTTCTTATTTGAGTGACACTTATGACATGTAAATTATCTGCCTGAGTTACTCAGTTTTTCTTCATACAACAATTTTTTGCATGTTTTGCTAATAGTTCTGATAGCCATATGGAATGCCTAAAAAATTGCTGCAGGGTATAACAAGGAGAGCATCTGTAGTTTGGTGATATAAAACACGCCTAGTGATTTGGCTTCTTATTCAGTAAAGTTTTATAGTAACAAAGACTATTTTCTTTTGAATAATTTTTGTAACCTGATAACATTTAGTTTTGTGACATAGGTAGTTAAATAAAACAACAAGTTATCTTCACAGTTGTAATTACTGTATCTTCAACTGGGGGAAGATTTAATTACTCTTCACCAGCCTAAAATTACACCATTTTGATTAAAGAAATATACTGCTATTTCATAATATACTGTTAAAATGAAGACACACATTCACATGGGTTTAGATTAAAATTATTTATTTAGATGAGAAGATAAGCATTTTAGACATTCAAAGATCATCTTTCTTACCAGCAAATCAGCCATAGAAAAATCATCCCAATTGTCCCACATGCCACAAAATTTAACAAATATCTACACTGAACTCTATTATCGAGTATAAATTACCTTCTTATAGTGCATTCCAAGGTACAACTATCTACTGAGGTTTCTGAGGACCCTTAATTATATTTTGACTTATCTATATGTTGTATCATTTACATACAAAATTATATTTTGATAGAACATTACTTGTTTATTATTTATGAGGTTTTGCTACAGATTCTTTATACTTTGCTTAAATACAAGATTGAGCCTCTTAAATATAAACTTGGGATACATCTAAGCATTTAAAAAAATAGCCACCTGGAAATTAGGCTTCTCCCAAGCTTCTTTCACAGAAATAGCAGTCTCTTTCATGCTTCTTTGAGTGTACTGATTTTCTGTAACCAAAATTATATTCATTCCCAGTTACTAGTCCTTTACCTCATGGTCTTGGGATACCTGGCATAGGTTTAGTTCCCCATAGACTAGGGTCAAAAAGCATCAGTGGCTTGATACCCCTGGAAATTCAGCCTAAGGTCCTGTCATTACAGAATTTTCTTAACCTGCTTTGTGGCAGCAGTCTAATCATTCATGATCCCTTTTCATACATACGTTTTTAACAGATGGATCCTCAAGCTTCTAATCTCTAAGGGATGAACTAAGGCATGTAGAGTCAGGTACTGTTCACTGTTACAGTGTATTATTATAATATCTTTATTGGACTAGCTAAATGATTTCATCCGCAAGCTTATGGGATTTATACTAAATTGATGAGGATGTTTGTATATCATACACACATATTCTTTCTTTCAAAAAGCACCACAAACATATTTAAGGTATAAATTAGATTATATTAGTTGTCATTCTCTTCATTGAACATAAGTATGTAAGCCTATAATTGAAAAGGATTTCATTACAACAGTACAACAGTCTTGCACATTTTAATTACAGAAAAATATTTGTGTGCCTTTAGCATTTCTAGTATTCCTAGGACCATTCATACGGAAAATAAAGTAGTAGGGATAAAATAGAATTTGCCAAGAGAAGAAACTGAAATTTATACATCCAAGGTATATTTTTTCATGAGTCAGAGTATATTTTTGCTCTTAATTTTTTTTTTCAATTTCAACTTTTATTTTAGATACAGGAGGTACATGTGCAGATTTGTTACATGGAAATATTGTGTGATGCTGAGGTTGGAGTATGGATCTCATCACCCAGATAGTGAGCATAGTATCTGATAGGTAGTTTTTTTAACCCATCCCACCTTCCTTCACCCTCTAGTAGCCCACAGTGTGTATTGTTCCCATATTTGTGTCCATGGGTGCTCAATGTTTAGCTCCCACTTATAAGTGAGAACATGTGGTTTTCTGTTCCTATGTTAATTTGTTTAGGATTATGGCCTCCAGCTCTATCCATGTTGCTGCAAAGGATATGATTTCATTCATTTTTATGGCTTCATAGTATTCCATGGTGTATATGTGCCACATTTTCTTTATCTAATCTACCACTGATGGGCACCTGGATTGATTCCATGTCTCTGCTATTGTGAGTAATACAGTGATGAACATACAAGTGCATGTGTTTTTGGGTAGAATGATTTATTTTTCTTTGGAGTATATACTTAGTAATGGCAATGTGGGGTTGAACCATAGCTCTATTTTAAGCTCTTTGAGAAATCTCCAGACTGCTTTCCACAGCAGCTGGACTAATCTATGTTCCCACCAACAATGGATAAGCATTATCTTTGCTCTGAAGCCTCACCAGCATCTGTTGTTTTTTGACTTTTTAATAGCAGTCATTCTAACTGGTGTAAGATGGTATCTCATTGTGTTTTTGATTTGCATTTCTCTGATGATTAGTGATGCTGAGCCTTTTTTCATACATTTCTTGACCACTTGTACGTCTTCTTTTGAGAAGTGTCTGTGTGACTGTTCATGTCATTTGCCCATTTTTTAATGTGGTTGTTTTTAGCTTGTTCATTTGTGTAAGTTACCTATAGATTCTGTATATTAGGCCTTTATCGGATGCATAGTTTGCAAATATTTTTTGCCATTCTGTAGGTTGTCTGTTTGCTCTGTTTATAGTTTCTTTTGCCGTGCAGAAGCTCTTTAGTTTAATTAGGTCCCACTCATTTATTTTTGGTTTTACTGCAATTGTTTTTGGAGACTTAGCCAAAAATTCCTTGCCAAGACCAGTGTTGAGAAGAGTATTTTCTAGGTTTTTTTCCAGGATTTTTATAGTTTGAGATATTACATTTAAATTTTTAATCCATTTTGAGTTACACAAACCAATAAATGTGATTCACCGCATAAACAGAATCAAAAGCAAAAGCCATGTGATCATCTCAATAGACACAGAAAAATCTTTCCATAAAATCCAACATGCTTCTTGATAAAAACCCTCAACAGACTAAGCGTTGAAGAAACATAACTCAAAATAATAAAAGCCCTCTATCACAAACCCACAGCCAAATTATACTGAATGGGCAAAATCTCTAACCATTCCAGAACCTTGAGAACTGGAACAAAACAAGAATGCCCATTCTTACCATTCCTATTCAACATAGTACTGGAAGTCTTAGCCAGACCAATGAGTCAAGAGAAAGAAATAAAAGACACCCAAATAGAAAAAGAAGTCAAACCATCTCTGCTGACAATATGATTCTATACCTAGAAAATTCTAAAGATGCTGCTAAAAGGCTCCCAGAATTGATAAACAACTTTGGCAAAGTTTCAGGATGCAAAAGGAATGTACAAAAATCAGTGGCATTTCTATACACCAACAACATCCAGACGGAGAGTGAAATTAAGAACACAATCCCACTTACGATAGCCACAAAGAAAATGAAATACCTAGAAATACAGCTAACCAAGGAGGTGAAACATCTTGAACATCTCTACAGGAGAACTATAAAACACTGTTTAAAAATATCAGAGATTATGCAAATAAAAGAAAAAACATTCCATGTTCATAGATTGGAAGAATCAATATTATAAAATAGCATTGTGGGGTTAAATCATAGCTCTGTTTTAATTTCTTTGAGAAATTGCTTTGCCCGAAGCAATATACAGACCAAACTAATAATATCATTCTTCACAGAATGAGAAAAACTATTCTAAAATTCCTATGAGCCCAAGAAAGAGTGAGCTCAAATAACCAAAGCAATCCTAAGCAAAAAGAACAAAGCTGGAGGCATCACACTACTGGACTTCAAAGTTTACTGTAAAGCCACATAACCAAAATAGCATGGTACCGGTACAAAAACAGACACATAGATCAATGGAACAGAATAGAAAACTCAGAAATAAAGCCGTACACTTACAACTATCTGATCTTCAACAAGGCTGACAAAAACAAGCAACGGGGAAAGGACTCCCTATTCAATAAACGGTGCTGGGATAACTGGCTAGCCATATGCAGAAGGTTGAAGCTGGACCTCTATCTGTCACCAAAAAAATTTTAAACTCTGTTTTTTCAGCTGCCATGCTTTTTTCATTGGAGATTTAAATTTCACTATAGCTTTTGTTTTCCATATACAAAAATATATTTTGGGGGCAAAGAATATATAATGCTGCAATCAAAACATGAAAACAGGCAGCCTAAATTTGGTATACTATCTCTGTAGCTTTTGACACTGATATTGGCATTTCATAAGATACTTTTCTAGAGAATCGCTGGTTTGGAAACCTACTTCAAATGATTGCAAAATGTCTAAAAGACAGGGACTGGTATTTAAATGTTTGCATGGATGTTTCAGACTTTGCCATACCTGAGAGAAAGGCATGGTTTTGGAAAAGCGTGTTCACCTGTGTCAGTAATAACCAGATATACATAATGACTCACTCATTAGCAAATTGTTGGCTAACAATTGATATACATAATGATATACATTGATGTATATAATGACTCAATTATTAAGCAAATTGTTAGCTATTTATTTACAGGAATTTTCAGACAAAGAATCTTGTAGAATTGTCCAAGAGATTCCTCAAATAGGTATTATTTCCATATTTATTTACAAGATGGACTTAGTGACTTCCAATGAGAAGAGTATTTGTCTCTCTTAGCAACCATTCTGAGGTACCAAAATTAACTGTTGCAATCTGTTTACCGCTGTATAATAAATAAATTAAAGCAACAAAGGAAGGAAGTGTATTAAATATAGGGACCTTGATTGTCTGTACAAGTTTCCATATTACAATGATTCAAATTCTTAAGGTGGTGTGAAGTCTTGAAACCATAATCAGTCATTTCTCCATCGTTCATTTTAATAACCCATAACACCTGATGTTTGTCTATTTATATACCACTCTATGCCAGTCATATTTCTAAGGGCTTTAACAAATAATAATTCATTTTATTAGTAGAACAGCCTTATGAAGAAAATTCTGTTTTTATTCCCATTTTACAGATGGAGGAACTGAGACACAAAAAGGTAAGTAACTTTCCTAAGGTACGCATCTATTAACGGCAGAGCCTGTTACTACTTAGGCCACACAACTGCAGGGTTTGTGCCCTGAGCCCTCTCCCATGTTGCCTGTCTCTCAGGTTCTTTATCTTTCTTCTAAAACTCCTCCTTGCGTCTGAGAACATGAAATTCATTTATGAACAAGAGAGAATTTCTATGTCAGGGGAAGAAAGAAAATAGGATAGGTGGAAAGGGCACAAGATTAAAACTCTAGTAGAATCAGACATACGAGCAAGGACTCTTCTTGTCACTGAATGTTAAGAATGAAATTATCTTGGGACACATGTTTAATGAAACAATAAATATGTGCTATAACTTTACACCTAGAAGACATACAGAAATCAGCATGTAAGTATGATTTAGAGGAAGCTGTTGTCAAATATGGAACAGAGTGCTTGGGTAATAGCATGAGAATACAGAAAATTTGTAGACACTTATACCAGCATGCATATTGCCCTAAACTTGAGCTCAGAGATAACCACAAAATTAAGATGACAATACGAACTTGTATCTCAGGGATGTTGTCCATTGTAGCTAACAAAATGATTATAAGCAAGGAAAAAAGTTATCTAGTAAATTGAAAACTGTTTCCCCATAAAAATGGAATCTATAAACAAAACTAATGCTTTATCATTTTAGTGAGCACCTAAAGCAAATTTTTAAAATATATGATTGAAATTTTATTGGTTGTTTATTCTCTATACACAATTCAAATTATATAAAGAATATTTATAAATGGATTCAAGCTACACTGATGTAGCCATATGTTCATTAACTGAGAAGAGTAATGTTTGTAATTATAGCAAGTAAAATTTTGAGCCCTAATCCAAAAAAAATTCTTGACGAAAACTATGACAGTCCATGGCTGAGCCCTAAAAATCTGAAAAAGTTGGTGGATCTTCAAAAGTATCTAATTTGTTGCCAAGGAAAGGCATAGAAATTAGGCAAGGGAAGTTCTACTCTAAGTGTATTATATTATAATAGTTTAAAAACCTTGCACATTTGTCCGATAGAACATAATCAACTACTTTGGTGATTAATTAAACTTCAGACAGTCGAACATGGCATTAAGTTGCTTTTATAAAAATGCAAGTTGATCAGCAGCATTTCAATAGGGAGGAGTATCTTCTACCACTGATTCCATCAAAGCTTTTTTAAGAAACAGGACTATCTGATGTACTAACAGTTTAGTTAAAGTCTGAAACCAGTTAAGATAGGAGTATTTATTCTAGTATTCACTCATTAATACTTCATGAGTGAATATTATTCTAAATTCCAAAACCTAGAATGGTTGATTTTGTAAAGTCTCTGGTAATTTAATTGGCAAGTTTCATAGAAATAGTTAAATAAACAGAAGTTGTTGTAGCAAAAGAAAACCCATTCTTCATACATTGTGGTGTTTTATTTTATAAGAATAACATATTTTACCTTTTTCTTACCTTTTATTGTTGGCTTAACCAAAAGAATAAGAATTTTCTATGGTGCATTTCAGATTTCTCCTAATCAAACTCTTATGCTTTAAGTGTTCTTTCATGCCCTTCAGAAAGGCTATTATTAAAAAGTCAAAAAATAACAGATGCTGGCAAGGTTATGGAGGAAAGGGAACACTTTTACACTGTTGGCGGGAGTGTAAAATAAATCAACCATTGTGGAAAACAGTGTGGCAATTCCTCAAAGACCTAGAGGCAGAAATATCATTTGACCCAGTAGTCCCATTACTGGGTATATACCCAAAGGAATATGAGTCATTCTTTTACAAAGATACATGATATGTTCATTGCAGCACTATTCACAATAACGAAGGCATGGAATCAACCTAAATGCCCATCAATGATAGACTGGATAAAGAAAATGTGGTACATATACATCACGAAATACTATGCAGTCATAAAAAGGAACAAGATCATGTCCTTTGCAGGAACATGGATGAAGCTGGAGGCCATTATCCTCAGCAAACTAACACAGGAACAGGAAACTAAATACTGGGTGTTCTCTTTTATAATTGGGAGCCAAATGATGAGAACACATGGACACATGGTCAGGGGAAACAACACACACTAGGGCCTGTCAGAGGGTAGATGGTGGGAGGAGGGAGAGCATCATGAAGAATAGCTAATGGATGCTGGGCTTGATACCTATGAATTGGGATGATCTGTGCAGCAAATCACCATGGCACACATTTACCGGTGTAACGCATCCTGCATATGGACCCCTGAACTTAAAATAAAAGTTGAAAAAAAGTGTTCTTCAACAAAAAAATTTAAAATCAGAAAGTTATGTAGTAGTTTTTGATGAATTTATTCATAAATAATTTATTATGTATATGATACACTAGATGCTATGGAGGATATGGAAAAGATAAAACTCCTTGTTATATTTAATGAGAGACAAAAATCTAAACAAAAGCTAAATAATAATAACACAATATGAGTGTATATTAAACTACCATCAGACCAGACTAAGATTCCAACTGTAGGTGATTTGCCCATGAATTAAAGTTTGAGAATTACTTTTCTAAGAAACTGAGACCTCAGGGTACTTTCAGATTACATCAGTTTATTAATGCAGTTGTCTGATTGTTAAAGCACCTAAAATAAGTAGGGACTTATTTGCCATTACTAGGTGTATTTTCCCAATGGTAGAATTTCTAATAAGCTGGATGGTAACAGGCCACAGTAGAATTCAATATTATCCACAAATAATTTTCATGCCAAGGACACATGAATAGTGTCAGATAAATGGTTCAACAAGGAATGTAGTAAAGAATGATGGCTGTATGAGCATAATATCAAAGAAAGCATCATAGTAGATACGTGTCTTAAAGACTGGTTTGGCAGAGAGGAAGAGAGGACATTCCAGGTGGGAAAGAATGTATGCAAAGCCTTGAAAATGGGACTGCCAAAAGATATAGGTGGCACTATGCCACAAATATGGGGGATGTGGGAGGAAGGGGCTCAGAAGTCAGAATTCTAGAGCACCAGCATGACATTTACAATGCATCCATACATATACACACACAATACACATGTGCATGTATACTGTCATTTATTTATATCTGCAATGAAGAAACTGAACTAAATCATGGATTTCCTAACACATTAGAAACACATAGGGTACTTGTTAAATTAGAGACTTCTAGGCCCTGCCTCCTAAATGATAATTGCTAGGAATGGGGATTGAGATCTTCAGTTTTAATTCCTTCTTGATTCTTTTGCTCCACCATATTTGGAAATTGTTTGAACTTAATAAACTCTTCCAGCTTTAATATTTTAAAATCTCTATGTTTAGAAAATAATAAGAAGAATTCTGGAGCTCAGAATTTTTCATAATTTTGATGGGATTAAAAAGGAAGGTTTAGGCAAGTTTCTAAAAAATAAAATTAAAGAGGTTATCTATATATTCTGGAAACCACAGAAAGCCAAGTCTGTTAGTAATTCCATAATTTCTAATATACATTTTTGTATAAATAGATAAAGTCGGGCTAACATAACTTTTTAAGATGGGGGGAAGAATATAATACAAAATTTTGTTGTTCATTTTGAATATTATTGAAAAGAATAAATTAATATTATTTCTCTAAACTTTGCATTTATATATATATATATAAATAAATAAATGATATTTTGTTACAAGCCACTTAAAAATTTTTATATTTTAGTACACTGGCTTGCAAGCATTTAATGAAGCCATTAGCCATGTATTTTCTACATAATATTGTGTATGTATATTTCTCAAAGACCTCTTAAGAGAAAACATGCATAACAACTATATTGAGTGCTGCATAAGCCATATTTTTTCAGCCTAGACATGAATTTTGTCAGTGAAAATTTGATTTAATGAGTGCTGCTTTCTAATGACATTCTCTGCTGGATGCCATGGAGATATGCAAATGAAGTTAAAGACATTGTCCTCATTCTCAGGGAATTTACAATATAATAGGGGAACAAAATGCAGATGAAAAGACATAACAACACATGCAAAGATGACATGAAAACAGGTACAAATTAATGTAATACAGCACATCAGTGCTAAGAGAAATGGAATAATGGAATGATCAGTGTGGAGTAGAGCTATTCAAGTGGACTTGATGAAGAAAATTTATTTAAATGGATGTTTAAGAGAGGCATAAATATGGGTCAAGAGGGAAATGGTGGAAAAGATATTCTATTCAGGGAGCATAGCAAGATTATAGAGAACAAAGGATTGAAAGAAAGAGCAAGTAATTTAACAATTGCTAAAAGTTATGAAACTTATGCCCAAATAATAAGAATGAGATACATCATCTCAATAGACACAGAAAAAGCTTGTAATAAAATCTAATGTCCTATCATGATAAAAACCCTCAATAAACTAGGCATTGAAGAACATACCTCAAAATAATAAGAGCCATCTATCACAAATCCAAAGCCAACATCATATTGAAAAGGCAAATACTGGAAACATTTCCCTTGAGAACTAGAACCAGACAAGGATGGTAACTCTCAACACTTTTATTCAAAATAGTACTGGAAGTCCAACCCAGAGCAATCAGGAAAGAGAACGAAATGAAAGGCACTAAAATAAGAAAAGAAGAAGTCAAGCTACCTCTCTTCACTCATATGATTCTATACCTAGAAAACCCTAAAGACTCTGCCAAAAGTTTCCTGGAACTGATAAACAACTTCGGTAATTTTCAGGGTAAAAATCAATGTACAAAAATCAGTAGCATTTTTATATACTAATGTTCAAGTTGAAAGTCAAATCAAGAATGCAATGTCATTTATAATAGCCACACAAGAGAATAAAATACCAAGGAATACATCTAACAAGAGAGATGAAAGATCTCTAACACTGCTGAAAGAAATTATAGTGACACCAACAAATGGAAAACATTCCATGCTCATGGGTTGGAAGAATCAGTATAATTAAAATGCACATACTGCCCAAAGCAAGCTACAGATTTACTACTATGTAATTTTTCACAGAATTAGAAAAAACTGTTTTAAAATTCATGTGGAACCGAAAAAGAGCCCAAATAGCCAAAGCAATCCTAAGCAAAAAGAACAAAGTTGTAGGCATTAAATTACCTGACTTCAAACTATACTATAAGGCAACAGTAAACACAACAGTTTGGTATTGGTATAAAAACAGATACATAGACGAATGGAACAGAATAGAGAACCCATAAATAAAGCTGCATACCTACAACCAACAAAATCAACAAAAGTAAGCCATTAGGAAAGGGCTCCCTATTCAATAAATGACAAGGAATAACTGACTAGCCATAAGCAGAAGAATGAAACTTGACCACTGCCTTCCACCACATACAAAAATTAACTCGAGATGGATTAAAGATTTGAATGTAAGACCTCAAACTATAACAATCTTAGAAGAAAATCTGGGAAACACCATTCTGGACATCAGCCTTGGGAAATAGTTTATGGCTAAGTCCTCAAAAGCAATTGCAACAAAAAGAAAAATTGACAAGTGGCACCTAATCAAACTAAAGAGCTACTGCACAGTAAAAGGAACTATTAACAGAGTAAACAGAAAACCTACAGAATGGGAGAAAATATTTGCAAACTATGCACCTAAAAATAGTCTAATATTCAGAATCTATAAGAAACAATTCAATAAGCAAAAACAAATAACTCTGTTAACAAGGGCAAGGGCAAAGGGCGAAAAAAATTCTTTTGATTTCTCAAAAGAAGACATTCAAGCAGCCAAAAAACATATGAAAAAATGTTCAACATTGCTAATCATCAGAGAAATGCAAATCAAAACCACAGTGAGATACTATCTCACACCAATCACAATGGCTATTATTAAAAAGCCAAATAACAGATGCTGGCAAGGCTGCAGAAACAAGAGAATGCTTATACACTGTTGATGGGAATGTAAATTAGTTCAGCCACTATGGAAAGCCGTCTGGAGAGTTCTCAAAGAACTTAAAACAGAACCATCGTTCAACCCAACAATCCCATTACTGGGTATCTACCTAAAGTAAAATAAATTGTTCTACCAAAAAGACACACACACTTACATGTTCATGGCAGCACTATTCACAATAGCAAAGACATGGAATCAACCTACATGCTCATGAATGGTGGATGGGATAAAGAAAATGTGATATATATACACACCATGGAATACTACAGAGCCATAAAAAAGTATAAAATCAAGTTCTTTGCACAACATAGATGGAGCTAGAGGTCATTATCCTAAGTGAATTAACACAGGCACAGAATCAAATACCACATGTTCTCACTTATAAGTGGTAGCCAAACATTGGGTACTCATAGACATCAAGATGGCGACAATAGACACTGAACTCCTAGAAAGGAGGAGGGAGGAAAGGGAACAATGGTTGAAAGACTAACTACTGGGTACTATGTCCACTAACTAAGTGACAGGATCAATAGTTCCCCAAACCTTAGCATCATGCAATATACCCATGTAACAAGCCTGCATATGTACTCCATTAATCTAAATTTAAAATTATAAATAAAATAAAACAATTACGTTAAAATTTCAAAAAAAAAATCAGATACATAACTCCCTTTGATTCTGTTTAGAGTGAACCTTTATTCATTAAAACATTTATTTACGGCTGGGCACAGTGGCTCACGCCTGTAATCCCAGCACTTTAGGAAGCTGAGGCAGGTGGATCACTTGAGGTCAGGAGTTTGAGACCAGCCTGGCCAACATGGTGAAACACCATCTCTACTAAAAATACAAAAATCAGCCGGGCATGGTGGTGCATACCTGTAATCCCAGCTACTTGGGAGGATGAGGCAGGAGAATCACTTGAACCCAGGAGGCGGAGGTTGCAGGGAGCCAAGATTGCGCGATTGCACTCCAGCCTGGGCAAGACTCCATCTCAAAAAAAAAAGAAGAAAAAGAAAAGAAAAAAAAATATTTATTTACTACTTTACATGGAATAAGGAGACAAGTTACCAAGAACTTTATGAACTTCAGTTGTTGTTTCAACATTCAATGAAAACCAGTGGCTAAGTGATAGTGAAATATTGATAAAGTTTTAGAAAAAAACAAAAAATAGTGTTTGACCTAAGATGAATATTTTTAAAAGTTTGAAGTCTACCTAAGATATTGCTATGGTTTGAGTGTGTCTTCAAAAAAAACATGTGTTGGAAACGTAATCTCCATTGCAACAGTATTGGGAGGTGGGGCCTAATGGGAGATGTCTAGGTCATGAGAGAACCCCCTTCATGAATAAATTAATGTCAATTATGAAAGGTCTCAAGAGTGCGTTTATTCTCTTGCTCCCTCTTGCCCTCTCCTTGCCTTTGTGCCATGGAGTGACACAGCAAGAAAGCCCTCACAAGATGCCATCCCCCTGATCATGGGCTTCCCAGCCTCCAGAACTAAGAACCAATATATTTTTGTTCACTATAAATTACCCAGTCTCAGATATTCTGTTATAGTAGCACAAAATGGGCTAAAACAGACATTTTAAAATATGGTTCCATTGCTCTTGCAATAACTTTTGAATGGATAGGCAATAATTTTAAGCTTCAAAGATTACTTCAAAAGAATTTTTGGAAACTAAATACAAAATATTGGTCTATCCATGTCTATTATTAACTTTATTTTATTACAGAAGTCCACATTCATAGTTTAAAAATGAAACTGTATTGGAGTTATTAAGGAGTGACATCAGCAACATGGTGGAGTAGGAACCCTGAACTCTCCTTCTCCAAATACACCAATTGAGCAACAATTCATGGACAAATTTCCTATGTGAGAAATAAATAACTAATTTAAAGGTTTTTGTACCCCAGGAGAATGTAAAACCAGATTTGCCAAAACCAGTAGGGAGATCCAGGACACCCTCTCACTACAGAACCTGCCCCCAATCCAGCACCTTTCAATTCGGAAGAGACTCTCAGCTCCCAGTTTCACCTAGGGAAGGGAAGGGACTGGTTCACTTCAGAGCAATCAAATATATAAATCAAACATTGACAGAATTGAAGGTAGAAATAGACAGCAATAAAATAACAGTAGGAGATTTCAATATCCCACTTTCAATAATGGACACAACATCCAGTTAGAAGATCAATAAGAAAACAGAGGTCTCGAATAACACCATAGACCAAATGGACACAGCAGATCTATACAGAACATTTCACTCAACAGCAGCACAATATACATTCTTTTCAAGCACACATAAATTTATTTCCCAGGTGGATTACATGTTAGTTCACAAAACAAGACTTCAAAATTTTAAAAAGATTGAAATTATACCCAGTATCTTTTCTGACCACAATGAAATAAAACTAGAAGTCAATAACGTGAGGAAAACTGAAAAATTCACAAATATGTGGAGATTAACAACACACTCATGAATGACCACTGAGTCAAAAAGGAAATCAAAAAGAAAATTTGAACATACTTCAAGACAAATGAAAACAAAACACAGCATACCAAAACTTATGGGATGCAATATCAGTGCTAAGAAGGAAGTTCATAGTTACAAATGCCTGCATTTTTAAAAAAGAAAGATCTCAAATATGTAACCTAACTTTACACCTTAAGGAACTAGAGAAAGAACAAACTAAGTCAAAAGTTAACAAAAGGAAGGAAATAACAAAAATTGGAGTAGAGAAAACAGAAATAGAAAACAGAAAAAAAAGCAATGAAACTAAGACTTGGTTTTTTGAAGAGAGAAAATTAATAACCCGTTATCTAAACTAAGAAAAAAAAGAGAGGACTCTTAAATAAAATCATCAATGAAAGAAGAAACATTACAATTAATACCATAGATATAAATGAACCATAAGATACTATTCTGAAGAATTACATGCCAGTGCACCAGAAAGCCTAAAAGAAATGAATAAATTTCTAGAAACATACAACCTACCAAGACTAAATCACAAAGAAACAAAATCTGAGCAGACCTATAACTAGTATGGAGATTGAATCGATAATCCTCCCAATCAAAAAAACAAAAGCCCAAGACCTGACGGATTCATTGGTGAATTCTACCAATCATTTAAAGAATTAGCACAAATATTTCTTAAGCTCTTCTTAAAAATTGAAGACGAGGGAACGCTTCCAAACTAATTTTATGAAACCAGCATTGCCCTGACACCAAAGCCCAACAAAGACACCATAAGAAAACTGCAGACCAATATCCCTGATGAATATAGATGCAAAAAACCTTTAAAAACTACTAGCAAATGGAATCCAAGAGCGCATTAAAAGGATCACACACCATGATCAATTGAGACTTATCTCTGGGTTGCAAGGGAGATTCAACATATGAAAATCAATTAATGCGTTACACAACATTAACAGAAAAAAAGATGAATATCGCAATTGTCTTAATAGATGCAGAAAAAGCATTAGACAAAATTAAGTACACTTAATGATAAAAACTCTTAATAAACTAAGAATAGAAGGAAATTACCTCAACATAATAAAGGCCATACATGACAAGCCCACATTATACTTAATGACAAGCTAACATTATACTTAATGGTAAAAAACAAAGAGCATTTTCTCTAAGATCAGAAATAAAGCAAAGGTGTCCACTTTTCCCATTTCTTTTTGATATAGTACTAGAAGTCCTAGCCAGAACAATTAGGCAAGAAAAAGGAATAAAAGACATCAAAATCTGAAATAAAGAAGTAAAATTATCCCTGTTTGTAGATTACATGATTCTATATGTAGAAAATCCTAAGGACTCCATAAAAATTCTTAGAACTAATAAATGAATTCAGTAAAGTTGTAGGATACAAAATGGACATACAAAAATGAGTTGCATTTCTACACACTAGCAACAAAATTTCTGAAAACAAAACTAGGAAAAATTACATTTACAATAGCATCAAAATAATAAAATATCTAGGAATAAACTTAACTAAGGAGATAAAAGACATGTGTGCTGCAACCTACATTAATGAAAGAAATTAAACAAAATGTAACCAAATGGAAAGACAGGTCATGATTATGTATTGGAAAACTTAATATTGTTAAAATGTCCATTCTTCCCAGAGTTATCTACAGATTTTGTGCAAGATCATTATCAAAATTCCAATGACTTTTTACAGAAATGGAAAAAACAATTCAAAATTTATATGGAACCCACACAAAAAAAAAGATCACGAATGGCTAGATAAATCTTGAGAAAGAACAAAGCTTGAGGCATCACTTTCTGATTTCAAAATATGTTACAAAACTACAATAATCAGAACAGTATAATATTGGCAAAAAGACTGAAGTATAGACCAATGGAACCGAATGGAGAGCCTAGAATTAAATCCATACATGTATGCAACTGATCTTCAACAATGATGCCAAGAATGAACAATGGGGGAAAGAATCATCTTGTCAACAAGTGGTGTTGGGAAAACCAGATAGCCACATGGAAAAGAATGAAATTGGATTCTTACACCATACCAAAAAAATTAACTCAAAATGGACTGAAAAACTTAAGACTGAAAACTTAAGAAAATGTAGCAGAATACCTTCATGAAAAAAAATACAAAAAAATTAATTCACAATGGATTAAAGACTTTAACAAAGGACTGAAAACTTGAGAAAATGTAGCAGAACACCTTCATGAAAAAAATTAACAAAAAAATTAACTCACAATGGACTAAAGACTTTAACAAAAGACTGAAAACTTAAGAAAATGTAGCAGAAAACCATTATAACATTGGTCTTGGCAATGATTTAATGGATTTTATACCAAAAGCACAGTCAACAGAAACAAAAATAAACAAGTGGGACTACATTAAAGCAAAACACTCTTGCACAGCAAAGGAAACAATTAAGAGACTAAAAAGATAACCGATAGAATTGGAGAAAATATTTGCAAGCCATGTATTTGATAAAGAGTTAAAACACCAAAATATATAGGAATAAACATGACTCAATAGTTAAAAAATGAATAACTCTATTAAAAATTGGGCTAAGGACTTGAATAGATATTTCTCCAAAGAAGACAAACAAATGGCCAACGGATATATGAAAAAATGCCCAACATCACTAACCATTAGGGAAATGCAAGTCAAAACCACAGTAAGATGTCACCTCACACCTGTCAAGTTGGTGGTTTTAAAAAATAAAAAGACAATAAATATTGTCAAGGATAGGGAGATACTGGAACCCTTGCATGCTGTTGGTAGAAATGCAAAGTGGTGCAGCCACTATAGAAAACAGTATAGGGGTACCTCAAAAACTTACAAAGATCACTACCATCTAATCCAGCTTTTGGATATTTATTCAAAAGAATTGAAATCAGAAATTTGAGGATATATTAGCATTCCTATATTCATTATAGCATTATTCACAATAGCCAAGATGTGGAAACAACATATATTTTCATTGTAAGGTAAATAGATAATGAAAATGTGACACACTGGAATACTATTAAGCCTTAGAAAAAGAAGGAAATTCTGCAATATACAATAACATAAATAAACTGTGACCTGTTTTTTTTTGTTTTTTGTTTGTTTGTTTGTTTCTTTGTTTGAGATGGAGTCTCGCTCTGTCGCCCAGGCTAGAGTGCAGTGGCACAATCTTGGCTCACTGCAAGCTCTGACTGTTAGGTTCACGCCATTCTCCTACCTCAGCCTCCCAAGTAGCTGAGACTACAGGCGCCCGCCACCACGCCCGGCTAATTTTTTTGTATTTTTAGTAGAGACGGGGCTTCACTATGTTAGCCAGGATGGTCTCGATCTCCTGATCCCATGATCTGCCCGCCTCAGCCTCCCAAAGTGCTAGGATTACAGGCGTGAGCCACCATGCCTGGCCCATAAACTGTGACCTGTTTTATCTTTACGAAAACTTTAGAATTTTTTTTCTTTATTCCTATTGTTCTGAAAGTTTATGATGGTAGGCCATGAAATGGGTTTTCATTATGTATGGCACTTTTCATGGAAAGAGATTCAAATTTGAATACTTGGTATTTTCTCTAGGGTCATTCAGAACTTCCTGCCTAGATACATTACTTCAGAAATTCCAGAAATAAAAGAGGTGGTTAAGGATCTCACAGTGGGGTATATAGTCTTTCACCAAAAACCATGTTTTCAGCTGCTTACCTCATTCCTGTGTTCTTAAATGCCTAGTGTCCCCTTCTCCTGAATAAAACAATAGTCTCTAGAGAGTTGGGGAAGGTCTATAATTGCTCTCTGCTATAAACTGAGTGTATGTGTTCCCCCCAAATTTTGATGTTGGAATCCTAACCCCCAATGTGATGGTAGTAGGAAGTAGGACCTTTGGTAGGTAATTAGATCATGAGGGAAAAGCCTTCATAAATGATATTAATGCCCTTATAAAAGGACCCTAGAGAGCTTCCTCAACCCATTCACTTGAGAACACAACAAGATGAACCAGGAAGTGGGCCCTTATCAGACACTGAATCTGCCTGTGTCCTGATCTTGGAATTCCCAGCCTCTAGAACTGTGAGAAATAAATTTCTGTGTTTACAAAACACAAGTCTATGGTAGTTTGTTGCAGCAAGCTAAAGAAAGCGAGACATTCTCCATAATACCTAGGCCTTCCAATTGATGAGTCTCTTATAGGCTCTGCACCGTGATTGGCTTACATCAGTAGGCCCCCAACTATAAGCATTTAGATGGTAATCAACTTATTCAGTTACCTTTCTTCCATCTAATTTACAGCTTCCAGACATTTACTGAGATCTTCTCTATGCTGTAGTCTCATTTCTAATACTTTTGTCCTTGATTTTTAATATTTTTCTGACCTTTGATCCTATTTGAGAGTTTTGAAAGAGAGAGGAAGAGATGGTCAATCTCTTAAGAAATGTAGCAAAAAATACAGAAATTTCAAAAATAGTTAGGTAATCTATAATACAGACTGAATATTTTTTATCCAAAATGCCCGGGACCAGAAGTATTTCAGATTTGGAAATATTTGCATATACATAATGAGGTATCTTGGGATAAGACCCAAGTGTAAACATGAAATTTATTTTTTTATACATCCTATTCATATAGCCTGAAAATAATTTTATACAATATTTTAAATAATCTTGTGCATGAAACAAAGTTGTGACTACCACTCATCACGTGAGGTCAGGTATAGAATTTTCCACTTGTGGCATCTTGACCCCTCTCAAAATGTTTCAGATTTTGGAGCATTTCAGATTTCTTAGATTATGGGTGCTCAGCTTGTACTTATCTATTTCTTCTTGTAGTTTAACATTGCAACTCTTAGATTTTGTATTCCCATAATTTTCCAATGATGAAAACTATTATGAATCATGAACTTACAGGATTAGAAGAGGGCTTGGAAATTAATTTTACAGATGAGTTAATGGCAGAAGCAGAAAGAGAATATTTATTTCAGTATTCTAGTTAACAGTATTAGGTATATTAGCATAGAAAATTTCACTAAGTAAAATGAAGAAATGCATTGCTCATTATGCCAATATGAGAAATATAATTGCCTGAATTGAATTTGAAGGCAAATGAAGTTATGTATACGAAAAGATTATTTGCCTTAATGTACAAAGTCATTTCAAACCCATTTAGCACAAGAAAGAATCTGACAAAATAAATCCAGCAAACAACTCAAAACAAAATATTAATAAATGAGTTTATAATTTAGAGCAAAAGCTAGGCTACAGAAATAAACAGTCCCCAAAATATAGTGTCTTAAAAAACATAGATGTTTATTTTTATCCCATGTAACAGTCATGAGTGAGCAGTCCAAGCCAGCTGAGTGGTTTTACTTCTCACTATCATTCAGAGACCCCATTTCCTTCCATCTTGTAGTTCTTCCAACACATCATCAAGCATCATCTATGTTCCAGTTCTCAGACAGGTGAAAAAAACATGAGAAAGCAGGCATTCCATGTTTTAAGGCCAAAATCTCTTAAGAGGCACATTGTCTTTTTTGCTTGCATTGCGTACTATGCACAAAGTGAAACATAGCTGCATGGTGGTTGGGAAAAGAAGCCAGTAACTGAGCAGCCATATGTACAAGAAGGCAAGTATGAATTTTTGCTGCAGAAGATGGGAAGAGTAGATTTTAATGATGACTGACTGCCTCTGACACAAGATACTACATTTCATGATTCAAACTGCACTGTTGGTGGCAGTGTAAATTAGTTCAACCATTGTGGAAGATAGTGCAGCAATTCCTCCAGGATCTAGAACTAGAAATACCATTTGACCCAACAATCCTATTACTGGGTATATACCCAAAGGATTATAAATCATTCTACTATAAAGATACATGCACATGTATGTTTATTGAGGCACTGTTCACAATAGCAAAGACTTGGAACCAACCCAAATGTCCATCAATGATAGACTGGATAAATAAAATGTGGCACATATACACCATGGAATACTATGCAACCATAAAAAAGGATGAGTTCATGTCTTTTGTAGGGACATGGATGAAGCTGGAAACCATCATTCTCAGCAAACTAACACAAGAACAGAAAACCAAACACTGCATGCTCTCACTCATAAGTGGGAGCTGAACTATGAGAACACGTGGACACAGGAAGTGGAACCTCACCTACTGGAGCCTCTAGGAGGGTGGGGGTCTAGGGGAAGGATAGCATTAGGAGAAATACCTAATGTAGATGACGGGTTGATGGGTGCAGCAAACCGCCACGGCACGTGTATACCTATGTAACAAACCTGCACGTTCTGCACATGTATCCCAGAACTTAAAGTAAAATAATAAATAATAAAATAAAATAATATCATAGAGTAACAAAGAACTTGCAACAGCAAAAGTTAAAACACCAAGCAAGATATTATAACCTATAAAAATTGAAAAGAAAAAGGAATGGGTAAAAGAATGTAAAGAAAGAAGAAATAATTTTATTTACTATTCACAGATACTGTTTAAAGAAGTAGGGGGTTAGAGCATTATGTAAAGTTACAGCTATCAATGTCACAAATAGAACACAAATACAAACCTTCCAAACACACACACACATAATCAAAAGAACGAAAACACACCAAAAAACTTTAAAGCCACAAAAAACATTTTAAGGCATAATGGGTTATAAAAGTATGACCTCAAAATAACTGTCATTTCAACAAAAGTCTAAACTAATCTACTAAAAGAAGAAAAACATCACTTTTTTACTAGTTAAATTTAGTTTCTCACCTTTCTCATTTTGATTCATTATATCCCTTACTGAAATTTTAGGTGTGTCTATTCTCCTTAGTGATGTTTGGTCTGTATAATTTGCCCCGAGTGTCATACTGACTTTCATCATGGGAATCACCTTGGCCTATCCTTCCTAACAACCTTTATTAAATCTTTAACATCAGTTCTCACGGGTGAGTGAACATAGTCAAATGGTTCTGACTTCAAGGCTTTAATGGAGGTCAGCTTGTTAATATGAAATATCAATCAAAACAAAAATTCCAAGCATATCTTAAAGGAGTTGAACTACATTAAAAAATCTTGGAGAGGCTCTGAATTAATTTGCTCAGAATATTTATTTCTTTTCCATTAACAAGGTTGGGCCAACATTATGTGGGTGGTAAAATTTGTTTTTTTCTTAATGGATCACTGATACTCCATGATCTTTTAAAATCCACTCCACAAGTCAACTTTGCAAAAATACTAGATTCTCAAAACATCCGCATACACTTGCAAATGTGGACCACCAAAGGAAAAGAGACAACTACAGAATGTCATGTCCAAAATGAGGCACGGGATTTAGGGACTATAAACTGCGAACTGAACTTCATGTCCAGGACTTATTTCATCCACAGGATTGTTTTAAAAGGTAATGATTGAAGTTGCAAGTATTTTTCAAAGAGTTCTTATTCTGAAGAAAGAAATAATAATAATAAAGATGTCTAGTATTAACATTTTGAGCCCATGTTTACCACATTAAAGAACAGTATTTTATGGTTTTCTTGGAGTATGTACAAGAGGGGTAGGTCATCAATATGAACAATTTAACCATATTATATATGATTATTTTTCTATTATTGATAAAATTATAAGCACACTAGTAAACAAAATATCACATATTGACTTTTTCATTAAATTGGCACTATCCTTTTAACTTTGAAACTTAAGGTTTTCTAGCCTGGATTAATAATTTATATTTGTGTTTTTTAGAATTTTGAAATGATTGCTATCTTTTATCTCATTTATTTCTCACACAGCCTTGTAAGGTAGTGAGAGCCAATATTTTCCCCATATTACCAGTGAGGAAGTGGAGTCTCTCAATGTTGAGAAGATAAAATCTTGCTTCCTGAGTATAACTGGTCTGGGAGCTTTTTGTTACCAAGAGCCGTCTTTCTTAAAGCTCACAAACCTGCTACCTTCTATCCAGAAGTTCATGCACTGTACATGTTTGAAACAATTCTTAGGTACCTCGGGAAAAAGCAGAAGAGATGAAAAGCAAAATAAAGTCTTGTTCCCCACCCAGGAGGAAATTTAGTACAAAAAAATCTTTGGAAACACAGACTCCCACAAACACAACCACTTCTAACCTTGCTATAAATGGCATACAGTCTAATTCTTGCTAAAAAACCCGTCCACAGAGGGACCAAATCACTGCAGATTCGCCAAGGGCTGAAGCATCCTTTGGCTATTCCGAACTCCATTCAGAAGCTTAAAAGAACAATCTAACCAGTAAGAAAACTATATTTAACCACAGAATATAAGTGCTTGCTGAAGTTTTCTTGCATATACATATTTTAATATATACATAAAACCGGGATATGAGTTGCACTTTCTACCTAGCATAAATTCATTATAAATTTGCATATTTTCAATTCCAATTCCAATGTTAATTTCAAAGTGGGAAAGTAAGATTTTTCTGTCAAATTATTATATTTAAATAGTAATTCTGTATTTCTCTACTTTTACTTCCATATTGACTATCAGAAGTTGCCTCAAGTTTATAATACTGTTTAAATTTGAGTAACAGGATTCCTGTTAAGGTGAAGGTTATATCAAGTGCCAGTTGAGGGAAAAATTTAAAACTTAAGGTACATTCTCCTGTGCCTAAGGATGAGAACTGCAGGTTGCATTTGACCAGACTGTCTTTGTTCTGGGTTCAGTCACTTGAATGGCCCTACTGAGTTATGCAAAGGTAATGTGAGCTGCAGCCTTTGTCATCAAGGAAGTTGTAACCAGACTATTTATTTGTTTGTTTGTTTGTTTCTGGATTAGCAAAAACTGCCTCAGTAGAACTAGTTACTGGGGAAAGGCAGATAAACTTGTATGAGAAAACTTCATCTTTTTTGGAAGAAAAAAAGTGAAAGTTCCCATTCCTACTGTTCCTACTTCTCAAAATTCAGCATTAGGAAGTCTTGTTGATATAGAGGAGACCACAGTGGCAGGAGTAAGGCCCAGGTGTAGGATAGATTAAGTAATCAAGTAAATTAAAATTGCCAGTAGAAAATGAGGATTCTGGGCCAAAAACTGGAGTTCAGCAACAGGACCAAAGGTTTTGTCAAGGAAGGCTGTCATGGTACCAGCAGTTTCACTGGATAGCATCTGTCTAGCATGGTTGCTGGGCAGTGCAGAGCAATGGCTGACTGTGGGAACATGAAACAGGGAGAGCTGTAACACTGGAGCTCAATGAGGCATCCGCAGCCTGAATAAGACCTGGATCAGAAGGACCACCTAACAGCAGTGGACCAACCCCTATTCTAACCCATAGCCACTCCTCGGCAGGGAGAAGCAAAAGCAATAGTAGACTGAAGAGGCTCCACGTATTTTTTTTCTTTCCATAGCATTTGGAAAAAGACTAACCCCTGATTGATTGTAAAAGGTCTTGGAATTGTTGAACAATTGAAAAATTAATGGAGTTTCAAGAGAATATAAACTGCCTGATAATAAGTAGGTGCCAATGCAGTTTATTGAAAAAAATAAAAGAAAAGCTATGTGAAATTATTCTACTCAAGTTTAAGACATACATGACATATTTTGAAGTGCTGCCACATATAACAATATCCCAATTATGATTCAATAAATACTTTATAAATAGTATTTGTAAGCCTTCAGTAAATAAGTTTGTTCAGGAGCAAAATACATTTTTAATTTATTTACGTGGGTGATTCTTACATTGAGGACAGTTGTGTCATAGAGCCCTTCACAAATCTTAAGAAAACTATGGACTTCTATACAAAAGTGTGCCTACAGATGGCATATATACCA
Organism: Homo sapiens; assembly: GCF_000001405.40. Taxonomy (NCBI): domain Eukaryota; kingdom Metazoa; phylum Chordata; class Mammalia; order Primates; family Hominidae; genus Homo; species Homo sapiens. Next base: position 93,961,739 of record NC_000004.12, read on the forward strand.
ATTTTGCATGTAATTTAAGGATTTCATGGATTCCCTGAAGCCCATATACTGATCACATAGAAAAATGCTCCTCAAAGTTTGGACTAAGGACCACTTTTGTAAAAAATCACTTGGATTGATGGTTAAAAGTGAGGTGGTATACAGAGTGGTTGAGACAACAGACTACAGACCTGGTCTGCCTGGTTGAAAAGCCTGGCATTACCACTCACTAGCTCTTAGACCTCTCTGTGTCTGTTTCCTTCTCCTCTTTGTACTAAGATTAAGTTAGTAACTATCTGTAAATTACTGCCTGGCATATAGCAAGTACTATAAAATTATGAGCTTAAAAAATTAAAATATCTGGATCTCACCCTGTAACTACTACATCAGGACCTTTAGGCACCAAGCCCTAGAGTCAGCATTTTAAATAAGCGCCTTTGGTGACCTTTATGCACTTTCATGTTTATACACTTCTTTGGCACTTTTATCCAAAGCCGTGGAAACTCCAAAGACATCTATCAAGAACTTGTTCTTCATATGGCAACCATATGGTATTGCGATCTTTCTTGTCTAAATTTACAGATTTACCATTACAGACTCAAAATTGGTTAAGAATGCTTCGTATCATTTGTTTCTATTGTCATAGAAACATATAAAATCAGTAAAGTTACTACACATTACCCAGTATGTTTTTGTTTTCACTTTTTTTTACAGGTGGGGGTCTCACTATGTGGCCCAGCCTAGTCTGGCTATGTTGCCCAGGCTGGTCTGGAACTTCTGGCCTCAAGTGATGTTCCTGTGTTAGCCTCCCAAGTAGCTGAAATTATAGGCCCAAGCCAGTATGCCCAGCACCAGTATTTTTTAAAATACAAACCTTCTCCAGCTTGAACCCAGGAGGTGGAGGTTGCAGTGAGCCAAGATCGCACCATTGCACTCCAGCCTGGGCAATAGAGAGAGACTCCGTCTCCAAAAAATAATAATAATAATAATAATAATAATAATAATAATAATTAAAAAGCTTCTTCAAAATGGCTGGGCTACATAGCAAGACCCTGTCTCAAAACAAAACAAACAAAAAACCTCTCCTAAATGGATGAAATAGTTAAGGAATCTTATGTTATGCCCCTCCTTTCCTCTGCTCTGTTGTTATGGGCTGAAGTTCATAAGTGCCATTGTGGTTGCCCTCATCACATCACATTTCAAGTCATCATTGTTAGCACAATGGTCCCTGTGGCTGAAAGGACTAGTGGTATCCTGACACACCATCAGTATTCAGCTAGTGAGAACTCAGGTTATCTCATTCAAAACATATACCTATGGAGCACTTCAACATGCCAGACACTAGGGATTCCTCAGTGAATAAAACATATTATTCTGATAAGAAGTTAAAAAAAAAGTTATCTTCTTTAAGAGGTGTGACTTCAGATTGGAAGAGACTAAGGATTATCTGAAAACTAAACACAATGTGGGATCCTGGAATAGATATAGGAACCAAGAAAGTTTGTTGGTGAAAAAACTGAGGACATTTGAATGAGGCTTTTAGTTCAGTTAACAGTATTGTACTGATGTTACTTTCTTGGGTTTAATCATTGTAATACAGTTACGTAAGATGTTCACATGTTAGGGAAAGCTGAACAAAAATTATATAAGGACTCTGTACTACTTTTATAACTTTGCCTAAAATTATTTCAAAATACAATGTTTTAAATTTAAAAGAGATTATTTTTATTTTTATGCATATTTTTTATTTTCAAAAAATTTATTTTTGAGACAGGGTCTTGCTCTGTTGCCCAGGCTGGAGTGCAGTGGCATGATCATAGCTCACTCTAATCTTGATCTCCCGGGTTCAAACAATCCTCCTGCCTCAGCCTCCTGAGTAGCTAGGACTATAGGTGTGTGCCACCACACCTGGCTAATTTTTTATATTTTGTAGAGACAGAGTTCTGCTATGTTACCTAGGCTGCGATGCATATATTTGCTTAAAAAAAAATTATCATCTGGAAAAGAGTGAATATGTCAAATACTAATCCCTAAATAACACTGCAATGGTTAGGGAAAAAATACCTGTAGAAATACTTCTGTGATGTCACATACCATTTCCACAGCAGGCACGTTGTTAACAGTTTTACACTGCCCATGACTTGACTGTCTGCCTGGAGTTTCAAATAGCCCTATAGCCTACCCACATGGAGAGTGGCTGTGTTACTCCATTTTAGTCTGCTCTTATTGATTGTTGGCCTGGATCAAGTCCAGACATGGGCAATAGCTCTTGAACACTGTAATTGTGTATTCTACTCTAACTCCTGCAGTAGATCAGTCCCTAGGCACCTCTCTCACCCTAATAGGAGTAGCTAGGTGAGTCTGTCTGATTTCACATACATAACACTCTGAGGGCTAATACTTTCCCTTTTGGATTCTCCACACCATGATTAGTCAAATCTCTTTGCTGTAACATTGGTATTTGCTACCCCTATGTCTTCAATCATTTAACATATATTTATTGAACACCTATAATATTATATGTTATGCACTGACAAAACAATGAGAACACAGAAAGTAGACATGATAGGCATGGATCTTATACTTACGGAGCTTGGCGAATAAATAGTTGGCTCTGTTTTCTTTCCTTTTTCTTCCTTTTTTTTTCTTCATTTCGGATCTTGAATGATGACTTCTCTGTGGTTCCTAAAAAGGTTTTTTAAAAAATTACTTCAAATCTTAGGTTATTGTGTAAAAAATCCTGATTGTATGTGATTGGCTCAACTCTGCTATATTGACATCTGTGACTTTTGCTTTTGTAAAATATTGCATTTCAGCTAGTGTCACTGTACACATCTTCCCAGCTGAAACCACGGTTTATGTATTTTTGAATCTGGACATAAACACGCAAAGACTTGGAGGCTTTGGGTATTGCCCTTTCAACAGCCTGCTTCCATGACAACAAGGCCTATTAGAGAGAAGCAGCCCTGTCACCACAAATTTAGGTCCAAATAATTTTACAGAAAAGATAAAAAGGTATGTGGCAACTCTATCTTCCTCCATCTTTTACATGAAGTAATTTCTCAGAAATATGATCAGCATTTGAGAAAGAAGTGATTAAAAATTAAAAGGCCCTGGGAGAGAGAAAAAGTCTATTCATATCAAGGATTTTGAAAGCTTAATGAAAGGTGAAAGAAAACATGATAGGACTGCAATCTTTGACATTTTTGCACAGTGAACAATTGATCCAAAGAATCAATTGAAGATTTAAATCATCATTAGAGACTCAAATGTTCATCTTTAAGAGTTTGTACTTTGAGGCCTAAGAAGAGCAAAAAAAAAAATTATCCATTAAGATTGAAAAAATCTGATATTTATCATGTCATTTATTACTTGAGCTAGAAAGTAAAATATGACTACAAATACTTCATTAAGTTCTTTGAACTTTTAATGTTAGAGCACTTTCTCCAAAACCACTGTACTAACTTACTGGTGGGCAAACAATGGCAGAGTCCCTAGTAAGACAGAGAGGTAGTGCAGAACTGTCAACCCAATATTTGTATTCCTAGTTCACTTGCTTCCCACATCTCTATGCTATAAAACAGTCTACTTTAATTTTGTTGGATGCTGTTGATCAGAGAATCTTCTAATAAGACTAAGGGCATAGAATTAAATTCTATATTATGTGTTATGACCACAGATAGCAATAAAAGTTCTCCATGAATCACAAGAAGTATTGGATCAGGCAGCAAAACTCAAAAACTGCAACTTCATAACTGATTATTTAAGCTATCATAAAGATTAAATATAATCAAGTGTACATTACCTATTTGGACTTAGTTTTATTAGGGAATTTGACTTGTGCTATGTGATTATTTGTTTTGCCAGTCTATCCCCTTCAGAGATAACAATAATTTTTATTGATACATAATAGTTGTACACATTTATGGGGTATGTGTGATGTTTTGAGACAAGCATACAATATGCAATGATCAAATCAGAGTAATTGAGATATCCATCACTTCATTTATCACTTTTTTGTGTTGAGAATATTCCAAATTTTCTCTTCTAGCTATTTTGAAATATACAACAAATTATTGCTAACTATAGCTGGCCCTGCTATGCTATCAAACACTGGAATTTATTCCTTCTATCCAAAAGTATGATAGTACCCACTAACTAATCTCCCCACAAGATCCCCTTCCCCCTGTCTTCCCCACCCTCTGGTAACCACCATTCTATCCTCTACCTCCATAAGACCATTTTTTTTTTAGCTCCCACACGTGAATGAAAATATGCAATATTTGTCTTTCTGTGCCTAGTTTATTTCACTTAAAATAATCTCCTCCAGTTCCATCTATGTTGCTGCAAATGATATAATTGCATTCTTTTTATAATGGCTGAATAATATTTTTCTTTAGCCACAGATATCTGTTTTGTTTTGTTTTTTTTTGAGACAGAATCTCACTGTGTCGCCCAGGCTGGAGTGCAGTGGAGCCATCTTGGCTGACTGCAACCTCGGCTTCCCAGGTTCAAGTGATTCTCCAGCCTCAGCCTCCCGAGTAGCTGGGACTACAAGCACTCACCACCACACCCAGCTAATTTTTTGTATTTTTAGTAGAGATGGGGTTTCACCATGTTGGCCAGGATGGTCTCGAACTCCTGACCTCAAGTGATCTGCCCTCCTCAGCCTCCCAAGGTTCTGGGATTACAGGCATGAGCCATCTCGTCCAGCCAGATATCTCTTTGATATACTGGTTTTCTTTTTTCTGGATATATGTCCAACAGTGGAATTGCTGGATTATATGGTAGTACAAGAGTACAGTAGTTTCTGTAAAGAATAATACATATAGCCTGGTCACTGAATATTCAGTTTTTTTACTTATAATGTAAAATAGATGGAATATAGATATATATATGCAATCAACATCTAATATTGTCTGATGTCCCCAGCAATGTACACACACATGCAAATTTGTGATTTGTGTTTCTTATTTTGAAAGATTTATATTTATTTTGTGGAGACTTTAGGACTCTGTTTCACCATTTTGTGAATTTCAAAATTCATGTATAAATTTCAAACAGAGTTAAATGAAACTTAAGAAATAAGTATTTATTTAACATTTATTGAATACTGGACACAAAGACCCAGGAAGATGCAGAGGCAAAAGATAAAGTTGATTTCATCTCTTATTACCTGTTTGGGGAGATGCCTTTGCCCCACAAAAATAAGGTGAATAATGGGGATGATGAATGAAGAAGTGCTGAGTATAGATTGAATCGGGTAGGTAGACTTAGGACTTAAAATCAGAGTATTAGGATTTAATTTACAACATTAGAATCGAAGTTATGGTGCTTTTATTTATTTTTTAATGTACACTTTTTTTCTTTTTTCAGAGACAGAGTCTGGCCCTGTCACCCAGGCTGGAGCGCAGTGGTGCAATCATAGCTCACTGCAGCCTCAGACTCCTAAGTTTAAGCAATCCTCCCACCTCAGCTTCCCAAATAGCTAGGACTACAGGTGACTGCCACCACGCCCACTTAATATTTTAAAAATTTTTTTGTAGAGTCAAGGTCTCACTGTGTTGCTCAGGCTGGTCTCAAACTACTGACGTCAAGCAATCTTTGGCTTCCCAAAGCACTCAGATTACAGGTGTTAGCCATCTTGCCCTGCCCCAGGTGCTTTTAAATCTTGCCCCAGCATCTTAGTCTGTGGTAAAAAACCTTAATGGCAAAAAAGAAATGTACACTCTTGTAATTTTTTTTTAATTAATGTTTTCCCCCTTCAGAATAAATGCTCCAGGAGCAAAGAACTGTGTCTGCTTCCAACTCAGCATAATAACTGATAGATAGCAAACATCCCATAACAATTGCAGGCTGGAGTAAGTCAAGCACAAGAGCTACTTTTTTGTTTAATCCTTTTAATTTCTCAGTTTGAAATTTTTAAACATTTTATTTTGAAATAATATCAGACATACAAAAAAGTTGCAAAAATAGTAAAAAGAATTAACATATACATTCACCCACACTCCACACTTTAACTTGCCTAACCTCCGTGCCATCATCAAAATCAAGAAATTAATATTAGAAATTAGCCTTAACAGTAAATAGTACTTTTATCTAATTTACAGACCTTATTCAAATTCTGTCAATCTACACACTAATGTCATTTTTCTGGCTCAGGATCTAGTCCACTATCACCTAATGCACCTAGTTGTCATATCTCTTTATTCTCTTGTAATCTGGAACAGTTCCTTAACCTTTCATTGTCTTTTAAGACCTTGACACTTTTTAGAATACTAGCCAGCTATTTTTTAGAATGGTGCTTAATTGGGGTTTATCTAATGTTTCCTTGTGATCAAATTTATGTCATTCATTACTAGGAAGAATACCACGGTGGTGATGTTGTATCCTTCTCAGCGCATCATATTAGGCGGTGCACAATGTCAATTTGTCCCATCATGGCTGACATTAACTTTGATCCCTTGGTGAAAGTAGATAACGGCTACTTCTAAATATTATTCTAGCAACATTGGAGAGTCTTACCTAAGTCTAGAGGCATACTATGCTTAATTAATTTTTCAGATTCTTCAACAAACCCTCAAAGTCCTGTGTTTGGCTTTAGGGAATACCAGAATAAATAAAGACACAGTGCTTACCATGTGGTGATAGACTCGTAAGTATTTGCAGCAGGTTGTGAAAAGTGCAATGGCAAATATCTACAAGTGATATAGAAGTAAAAGTAACTATTTGTACCTTGAGAGGGATGATGATTAAGCAGCACATCACAAAAAGTATTGATAATCTAAGTTGGGCCTTGAAGGAACGAATAAGCTTTTGCCTTGTTGAGGAGGGAATAGGACTTTATGGGCTTTGATAAGCAAGAACCAAACAAGGTAAGCATGAAAATAGTTGGTGTAATCAAGGAATAATGAGAAGTTCAATGTAACAAGTGCATGTGGGAGAGCAACTAAAAACAAGATAGAGGCCGAGATATGGAGGGTATTTTGTCATAATTATCAGTTTGGAGTTTACCACATAGATGCTATGTGGACCCATGAAAGGATTTCCATGGCAGAGAACAAAATGTTGTCTCTCTCTCTCTCTCTCTCTCTCTCTCTCACACACACACACACACACAGGAAAGGCAATTATGGTGGCAATGGAGAAAATATACTATGGTGGAGACAAATGAATATTTGAGAACTTCTGAAGTGTGGACTGACTGTAATGGTCCAGGTCAAAGATAAAGAAGTTCTAACCTGAAAAAGAAGTAAACTGTAATTTAAGGCAAAACTATAGAGAGAATTTTTCAAAAGGCATTGGTGCTCAATTTAAAATCATCTCAGTTCCTAAAAACTGAATTATTTGGATAAATTGCTTCCAAGAACTGACACAGTCAGATAGAAATTGGAAATTCAGGAAAGAATAAATATCAACAAAAATGTACGTGAGTTTCTGTGTTAGTGAGGACCATTCAAAGACAGACTCTTTACAGACAGAGCTCAATTTTTCATGACCAACACAGTGACAGCAATTGACCCAGTGCATCAAATACATCATGCAGATAGGTAAGCAAGGATAGTCACACGAGTTAGGAGGAGTCATATAATTAGCCATAATCTCCAAATCACCTCTCAATTTTAACAGATTATTTGTATTGAATAATACTGTCAGCTAACATAACTAATGTAAGGTGGTTTTAGTTATTGTTGCTATTGTTTGTCAAGAAACTGTGCTTAAGTTACAAATTGATTTTCTGATAGTTAATGATTGTATATCCATTTCGGTTTTGCAAAATACAAATTTGCAGCAAAAAGAAAGCAATCCATTCTTTTTTATGATATTCTGGCAATGCTAAATATATTTTTCACCTAAATCTGGTCATGGAAAACATAACATTATTTGTAAAAGAGAGAGAGTAGAGAAACCATCCTGTTAGCCTTGAGAAGTAAACCGCCATGTTGTAGAAGGGCCTACAGAGATAGCCAGAGGGTCAAGAACTGCAGGCACCCTGTAGACACTGAGAGAAGCCCCTCAGCCGACAGACAACAGGAAAACAGGAATATCAGTCCTACAAACATGAGGACAAGAACTCTGCCAACAACCTGAGGGAGGTTGGATGTAGATCTTTTTTAGTTGAGCCTCTGGTGAGACTGCAGCACTGGCTAACACCAGGATTTCAGCCTGGTGAGACCCTGGAGCAGAGAATTCAACTGTGCTGCACCTGGATTCCTAACTCATGGACGCTGGCTGTAAGATACCCAATATGTTGTTTTAGACTGTAAATTTGTGGCAATTTATTATGCAATATAGAGAACTGATATCTGGAAGTATGATGCTGCTGTAACAATTACCTAAAAAGGCAGAGCAGCTTTGGAACTTAGCAGTGGGTAAAGGCCGGATGAATTTAGAGGAGCATGATAGAGAAAGCCTACCTCACCTTGAACAGACTGTTAATAGAAATATGGACTTCAAGGAGGCCAGGCACAGTGGCTCACGCCTGTAATCCCAGCACTTTGGGAGGCCAAGGTGGGTGAATCACTTGAGGCCAGGAGTTCAAGACCAGCCTGGACAACATGGTGATACTGTCTCTACAGAAATTACAAAAAAAATTAGCCAGGTGTGGTGGCGTATGCCTGTAATCCCAGCTACTCAGAGGCTGAGGTGGGAGGATCACTTGAGTCCAGGAGGCAGAGTTTGCAGTAAGCCAAGATATCGCCATTGCACTCCAGTCTGGGGCGAGACACTGCCTCAAAAAACAAACAAACAAAAAAAAAGAAATATGAACTTCAAGGATGCTGCCACAGAAGGCCCAGTGGAAGTGCAAAACATATTATTAGGAGTTAGAGAAAGGGGGATCAGTGCTATGTAGTGGTGGGATGTTTAGTGATATTATCTCTGCACTTATGTGGAAAGCAGAACTTTTAAGTTATAAATTTAATTATATTGCTAGAGAGATCTCCAAACAAAGTATGGTAAATTGCAAGGGGAAAGAGAAAGATTGAGGGATAAAGCATAAAACAAAAAGCAACCAGGACTGAATGATTTCAGAAATTCTTCATCTCTTCACATGGCAAAAGATGCTATAATTAAGAGATTTATGGTCAGGAAAGTGTACTCTAGGGAAAAAAATGGCTAATGTTGTGACTGTAAAACTCTTTGCTTAAATCACAGATTTTTTAAAAATCAGCATATTCAGTCACACAAAAGACTATTTCAAGAAATTAAGGGTCTCCCATACAGATTCTCTCAATGTGACCATAGGGCCCCTAGGAAGCTTAAGGACGTTGTGCTTCAGCCCCATCAGCAGCAGGTAGCAAGGGTAGAAAGAGATTATCTCCAAAATGTCTGTAAATATAACTTTTGTTTAATGGAGAGAACACCTTTGAGATTCAGAGGAGACCCATGAAGTTCTTGAGAAGATTATTTAAGCAGAAACGTTTCCAGCCTGGAAGTGTTTCTGAAGTTATATTTTTTCTCAAATTTGTTTTATTAAACACAGGGAAGAAATCTGAAAGTGAGGACATTTCACTCTCTCTTTCTTTTCCCCTAAGGACAGAGAACAAAAAAAGAAAAGGAGGCTGTTGGACTCCCAAAATTCTACTGGCACAAAGTAGGATGATGAAAGTACTCAGTGGCATACCTATGCTGCCTTACATAAGAAGAGGATTACTCAAGGGCAGGAACAAGAGACCAGAGGATGGAGACAGACCCATGAAGAATTAAATTAAGACCCTTGAAACCTAATAAAGGAACTCTGGCTGGAGTTTTACCAGCTGGATTTGATGACTACTTTGTACCAGTGATCCTTTTTATCTTCTACTCCCCCATGTTTTGAACTAGAATGTCTTTTGCTGTTATCCTATGTCCACCCCACCATCTAATGTTAGGTGTGTTAGAAGCAGATAGTACTTTCAAAGATCACAGATACAGAAGAATTATGCCCTAGGAAGTGTACTTATTGGATTACATCCAGGAGCCTCATCTACACTTGGGTCTGGTATAAATGGTGACCTTTGGACCTTAAGCTGATACTATAATGGAATGGGATTCTTGGGAATATTGGAAGGGAGCAAATATATTTTGAATCTGGGAGGAATATGAATCACTGGGGGCCAGAGGACCATTATAGCATACAGATCCTAAGGTGATCCCCATGTTGAAACCCCACAAATTACCTTACCTAGAGTGTGGGTGGGACCTGTGGCTTGTTTCTAACCAACAGAATATGACAAAGATGACAGGGGAAAAGAAAGAGAAAGAGGAATGTCTTCACTTTCAGATTTCCACCTTGTGTTAAATAAAACAAATTTAAGAAAAAAAAATATAACTTCAGAAAGCTTTATTATTCATTTGCTATTTATTTTGCCCTCACTTAAACACTTTATTTTGCTTTCTCTAAATTACAGAGCCTAGGTTCTTCATTTTTCTCTCATCCTTACATTCAATGGCAGCCCCCAAACTCTCTGCCTTTAAATAGGAAAAGTGTTGTATAATATTTTATTAACATATATTTCTTGACCTAAGACAATTCTATAGGTATAAAGGTATCTATAAACCCAATTCAATGGACAGGGCCACATAGCTATTGTTCTGCACAATTTAATGCTAAGCCAGAGAATGTCAAAACCTGGTAGGACATTCTAATCTGATTCCATCTCATCTCTTCCTTTTAGCCTATGCTAATAGAAAATTACTTAGAATCTTGTATCTTTAACTGAACCTTTTTTCAGCTATATCTTTCATCTTATTGCTTAGTCTCCTAGTTTTAAAATATAGTCTATCAGTCTTGCATCTTTTTTTCTGACTGTCCTACAAGCATCCAGGCCCAGGCCCAGGGCAGACTTTAACTTATCAACAATCTGAAAAAGACAAAAACTGACTTCATTCAAAAGAGGGCTATCTGGGGGACACAAAGTCCCCAAATATCCATATATAGGAAATCCGTGTAAAGTGTTAAATAAACAATAAAAATAACTATAGCAAGAGAAACAAATTTGCTTTCGTATATTCTGAAAAACACATCTTAGCTCTTATTTCATATGGGATAAGGTGTTAGAGAAAGAAAATTCTGATTTATCCAAGATTTGTATTTCTTTCTCTTGTGCCATTTTTAAATCTGAATCATTCTTTTATATTTTGCCTTCTTTTTAGGGCAATTTTAACATATCCTCCACCATCCCTCATTCAAATATTTCTTTGCAGGCTGGTGGTGGTGGCTCATACCTGTAATCCCAGTGCTTTGGGAGGCAGAAGCAGGAGGATTGCTTGAGGCCAGAAGTTCAAGACCAGCCTGGGCAGCATAGTGAGACCCTGTCTCCACAAAATAAAAATAAAATTAGCCAGGATGCTGGGGTGGGAGGATTGCTTGAGTCTAGGAGTTTGGGGTAACAGTGAGCTACGATTGTGCCACTGTACTCCAGCCCAGGCAACAGAGTGAGACCCTATCTCAAAAAAAAAAAAAAACACAGATATTTCTTTGCAAAATTCATATAATAGCCATGAGATACACTTCATCAAGCCAAATTTCTTATTCCAGAACCAAACTCTGTTCCCGCTAAAGACAGGCCTCAAGTCTTTATGTGAAATAAAATGTAACCTCTAGATACAAGGTTCTGGAAGTCTCACAAAAAGTTGGTATTCTTAGGCAGACCTGGTTTCTATGACTATTTTTAGAGCACACCAAAAAGCTATGGTAAAAGAAAAATTATTATTATTATTATTATTATTAAGCACCTTTGTAAGTAGGAGACATTTGTTCATGTAATTTGCATACATGGAACTGTCACAAAGAACATCTGTAACAGGTAATAATTAATGATAAAAACAAATTAAAATAGGGTATAAAATACCATCAGAAATCCCAGATGTTTTGATATTTTATTACTGTTATTGCAGATGTCTCAAAATAGCATTTATACTCATCACCACTTTGAAATAATGATAGTTATTAGATCCACTAATAGATCTTATTACTTAATGTGTTACTAAACAAGCAAATAGAGTACCATATATTTTTGGTGACTGTATTTTAATGTAATAATTTTCTTTTGTAATCATGTGTATTTTTATTATGCATAAATAAATTTTCATGCATTATTTTGAGAGTAATCACTTGACTATTAAAGAAGGGGTCAATGGCAGACACAAAATACATTGACACCCTGTTGTATAAAACCAGGTATAAGATTTTAAAAAGAGGGAAATGTTAATTTTCTAATCAATTGATAAATGTATAACAATATAGGACCCTTCAGATTTTCTATTGTATCTTGTGTCAATTTGGATATGTTGTATTTTTCAAATAATTTATCTGTTTAATCTAACTTGTTAGATTTATTGGCATAAAGTTGTCTACATTTTCTCTTATTATCCTTTTAATAGTTACAACATCTCTAGTGATATTCTCTCTTAATTCCTGATATAGGTATAATTTATGTCCCTCTCTTTATTTCTTAATCATTCTAACTAGGAGTTATCAATTTTGTTGATCTTTTAAAACAACTAGCTTTTGCTTTTGTTGAATTTCTCAAATGATTTTCTGCTTTTCATTGGTATCACACCTTTCTGCTTTTCTAATACAGGCATTTAAAAGCTATACATTTCCCTCCAAGCACTGCTTTAGCTGCATCACACAGATTTTTTATAACTTTCCGTGTTCACTGTTAGTCAGTTAAAATATCTAAATTCACTAGTGAGTTCCTTCAGTCATGGTAATTTAGAAGTATATTATTTACTTTCCAACATTTGAGCAATTTTCTAAATACCTGATATTTTCATTGAAATAGAAGTCTGAGTTGACAGTTTTCTTTCAGTGTCTTAAAGATGGTATACTGCTGTTTTTTGTATACCATTGTTTTTGATAATAAATCATTTATATTCTTGTTCCCCTGTATACCATATGTCCTTTGACTCTGTTAATATTTTCTCTTTATCTTTAATTTTTAGCAGGTTGAGTATAATGTATCTAGGTGTGGTTTTATGTTTTTTCAGCAGTGAGACTTTTAAATCTATAAATAAGATCTTTAGATTTATAAGATTTATAGACTTTTAAATCTGTAAATTAAGATCTTTTGAGCCATTATTGGTAATATATTTTACACTCTAATTAACTATCTGTTAGACTGTTTGATATTGTTCCACAGATATTGAGACTCTATTTTTTTCATCTTTATTCTTTCTGATCTTCAGATTGAATAATTTCTATTGCTCTACTTTCAAATTCAATGATAATTTATCATCTCTGATCTTCTTTCAAACTCTCAGTATTTCTTTAGATATGTTTATTTCAGTTTAATAATTTCCAATTGGTTTTTTTCACAGTTTCTATTTCTTGGCTGAAATTTCCTATTTGTTAGCTCATTGCAGCCATATTTTATTTTACATCCTTGAATATAGCTTAATAATTGCTTTAAAATCCTTATATGGCTGGCTGCAGTGGCTCACACCTGTAATCCCAGCACTTTGGGAGACCAAGGCAATGAACTGCTTGAGCCCAGGAGCTTGAGACCAGCCTGAGCAACATGATGAAACCCCATTTCTACAAAAAATAAAAAATAAATTAACCATGCTTGGTGGTGCACACCTGTGGTCCCAGCTACTTGGGAGGCTGAGGTAGGAGGATCGCTTGAGCCCAGGAGGTGGAGGTTGACCAGGAGGCAGAGGTTGCAGTGAGCCAAGACTGTGATGCTACACCCCAGCCTGGGCAACAAAGCAAGACCCTGCCTCAAAAAAAAATCCTTATTTGATAATTTCAGTATCTGAATCACCTAAGAGACAAATTACTACCTTTTCTCATAAATAAGGATTGCATTTTCCTATTGTTTCATGTGTCTAGTAATTTGGAATTGCATCCTGTGAGTGATATATTATAAATATTTATTGTATCTTTTCAGTGAAATATTGTAAAGACTCGGGATTCTCTTATATTCCTCCAGATAATATTGTGGGGGTTTTTGATGAGTTTGTTGTTATATTAGCTGGCAGTTAACTTGGCTGAACTCAAACTTTAAACTCTCTATCCCTTGTGGAGTGATGCAGCTGAAATCCTGTTAAATTATTTAGCCTTAGCTACTCCATGCATATGCAATTCATGGATCAGCCAGAAATAGTAGCATATTTTATACTCAGAATTTGGGATGCCCCTCTCCTTTCCTGTATTTTCTCCCTGTATTAGTTTTTTAGAGCTGCCATAACAAAGTATAATAAGCTGGGTGCCTTAAAACAAGAAATGTATTCTCTAGTAATTCTGGAAGCTAGAAATCCAAAATGAAGGTACTAGTAAGGTTGATTTCTTCTAGAGGATCTGAAGGAGATTCAGTTTTACGGTTCTCTCCCAGTTTCTGGCCATTGCCAGCAATACTTGGCATTCCTTGGTTTATAGCTGCATACTCCAATCTCTGCCCTTTCTTCACATAGCCATCTTCCCTCTGTGTATCTGTGTCCACATTTTCTTCTTCGTATAAGGCTAGATTAGGGCCTATCCTAATCTAGTATGACCTCATTTTAACTTTACTACATCTGCAAAGATTCTATTTTCAAATAAAGTCACATTCACAGATTCGGAGTAGACATGAATTTTCAGTGGACACTATTAACCCAGTATGTTACCTTACTTACCAGTGGCTGTGGCAGCCTCAAATTCTGTCCTGAGTCTTTGAGCCATTAAGATTGCAGATTTCCATCCAAATTTTAGCTGCTACTTGCATCACTGAGTGAGCCTGCCCTCGGGCAAAAAAAAAAAAAAAAAAATATATATATATATATATATATATATATATATATATATATACCAGAAACTGATGGCTGTTCCCTTCCTCCAAAAGCCAAGCTCTCTTCAGATTTTTCTGCTTGTATTTACTCTACCATGTCTCTGGTAATTGTCTTTTTGAATCTTGTTTTTTATAGTTAATATAGTTATGCTTAGTGGGAGGGTTGGTCTAATAGGAATTACTTCATCATAACCAGACGATATAGTTTGGAGATTTGTGTCCCCACCCAAATCTCATCTTGAATTGTAACTCCCACAATTCCCACATGTTGTGGGAGGAACCCAGTGGGAGGTAATTGAATCATGGAGGCGGGTCTCTCCTGCACTGTTCTCATGATAGTGAATGAGTCTCACAAGATCTAATGGTTTTAAATAGGGAGTTTCTCTGCACAGGCTCTCTTCTCTTGTCTGCCACCATGTGAGACATGCCTTCACCTTCCGCCATGATTATGAGGCCTCCTCAGCCACATGGAACTATAAGTCCAATAAACCTTTTTATTTTGTAAATTGCCCAGTCTCAGATATGTCTTTATCAGCAACATGAAACAGACTAATACAGCAAATTGGTACCAGTAGAGTGGGGTGTTGCTGAAAAGATACCCCAAAATGTGGAAGTGACTTTGGAACTGGGTAACAGGGCAGAGGTTGGAACAGTTTGGAGGGCTCAGAAAAAGACAGAAAAATATGGGAAAGTTTGGAATTTCCTAGAGACTTGTTGAATGGCTTTGACAAAAATGTTGATAGTGACATGAACAATAAGGTCCAGGCTGAGGTGGTCTCAGATGGATATGAGGAACTTCTTGGGAACTGGAGCAAAGGTGACTCTTGTTATGTTTTAGCAAAGAGCCTGGTGGCATTTTGCCCCTGCCCTAGAGATTGTGGAACTTTGAACTTGAGAGAGATGATTTAGGGTATCAGGCAGAAGACATTTCTAAGCAGCAAAGCATTCAAGAGGTGACTTGGATGCTGTTAAAGGCATTCAGTTTTAAAAGGGAAACAGAGCATAAAAGTCTGGAAAATTTGCAGCCTGACAATATGACAGAAAAGAAAATCCTATTTTCTGAGGTGAAATTCAAGCTGGCTGCAGAAATTTGCATAAATAACGAGGAGCCAAATGTTAATCTTCAAGACAATGGGGACAATGTCTCCAAGATATGTCAGAGGTCTTCACAGCACCCCTCCCATCACAGGCCCGGAAGCCTAGGAGAAAAAAGTGGTTTCATGGGCCAGATTCAGGGTCCTTGTACTGTGTGCAGCCTAAGGACTTGGTGCCCTGTATCCCAGCCACTCCAGCTATGGCCAAAGGGGGCCAACAAAGAGCTCAGGCCATGGTTTCAGAGGATGCAAGCCCCAACCTTGGCAGCTTCCATATGGTGTCGAGCCTGCAAGTGCACAGAAGTCAAGAATTAGGGTTTGGGAACCTCTGCCTAAATTTCAGAAGATGTACGGAAACATTTGGATGTCCAGGCAGAAGTTTGCTGCAGGGGCAGGGTTCTCATGGAGAACATCTGCTAGGGCAGTGCAGAAGGGAAATGTGGGGTTGGAGACCCCACACAGAGTCCCTACTAGGGCACTGCCTAGTAGAGGTGTAAGAAGAGGGCCACCATCTTCCAGACCCTAGAATGGAAGATCCACTGGCAGCTTAACACCATGCACCTGGAAAAGCCACAGACATTCAATGCCAGCCCATGAAAGTAGCTGGGAGGGAGTCTGGACCTTGCAAAGCCACAGAGGAGGAGCTGCCCAAGACCATGGGAACCCACCTCTTGCATCAGCATGACCTAGATGTGAGAAATGGATTCAAAGGAGATCATTTCGGAGCTTTAAGATTTGACTGCCCTGCTGGATTTTGGACTTGCATGGGGCCTGTAGCCCCTTTGTTTTGGCCAATTTCTCTCATTTGGAGTGGCTGTATTTACCCAATGCCTGTACCTCCACTGTATTTAGAAAGTAACTAACTTGCTTTTGATTTTACAGGCTCATAGGCAGAAGGGACTTGCCTTGTCTCAGATGAGATGTTGACTGTAGACTTTTGAGTTAATGCTGAAATGAGTTAAGAGTTTGGGGGACTGTTGGGAAGCCATAATTGGTTTTGAAATGTGAGGACATGAGATTTGGGAGGGACCAGGGGCAGAATGATATAGTTTGGCTGTGTCCCTATCCAAATCTCATCTTGAATTATAACTCCCACAATTCCCACATGTTGTGGGAGGAACCTGGTGGGAGGTGATTGAATTATGGGAGCCGGTCTCTCCTGTACTGTTCTCATGATAGTGAATGAGTCTGATGAGATCTGATGGTTTTAAAAAGGGGAGTTTCCCTGCACAAGCTCTCTTCTCTTGTCTGCTGCCATGTGAGATGTGCCTTTCACCTTCTGCCATGATTATGAGGCCTCACCAGCCACATGGAACTGTAAGTCCAATAAACCTCTTACTTTTGTAAGTTGCCCAGTCTCAGGTATGTCTTTATCAGCAAAGTGAAAACAGACTAATACACCAAAATAGATTTAACTGTTTCTCTAACCAATTGAATAGAGGAAAAAATGATATGAAGAATTAACATTTTGCTGCATGTTAATCAATATGAGTTATGTCATATTTCAAAACCATTATTTTGACTCTAATACATTAAATTGTTTTTCCACATTATACAGCCAAATACTTTGCTAACAGTGGGCATGATTGTGTGATCAATAAAAGATCAATAATAGTAACACATGTATTATTTAATGTTTCAATTGCTCTTCTAAGAGCTTTTTTATGTGTATTATCTCAGTAAATCTTCACATCAACACTACAACTTAAGCAGAAGTTTTATAGATGAGTAATTCTCATTTTACAAATGACTAAACTGAGGCCCAGAGGTTAAGTAATTGTTAAAGCTACACTGTTAGTATACAGTAGAATGAAAGAGTCCATGAATATAACCACTATGTGTACTGCTTCCTAAGAACACAAATCTTTCTATCTCTCGTACTACCTTAAATCATTATTGACCATAGAAAAAGTATTTGTAAGGCTGCATTTTTTCCTAATTTTTTAACATGTGTGAGGTAAATAAAAAGTAAATAGAAGCAAATAAACTTTTTGTATTCAACACAATAGCTTGATTTCAGAATCAGTTTCATAATTTGTGATGTTTTTAGTATCTACGATTGGCATATTAGAAATCCTTTCTGCATTAAAGTAAGCTCCAGAAATCTCAGGCTTATACATTCTTTTAAATTTCTTATCTGCAAGTCAAGAAGTAATCATTGCATACTCCTCAACTAGTTACAGTATATTTTATGTTATAACTTTACCTTTATGATTAAGAAAAGTCTCTGTGTGTGTGTGTGAGAGTGTGCATGTGTGTGTGAGAGAGAGCTGTTTTCTCTTATCATAAACATGACATGATGTAAGACATGAACAAGTGTGTACTTAAGTAAAATAGTTATTTCCTTAAGTTGACTCACCATGGCACCCTAGAGATTAGTACTGTTACTGATTTCACAGGTCTCTTGTGCATGTGAATTTCCATGAGATTCTATTCAACTGGAGTAACTAAGAAGAAAGAACAATGTCCCTCTATACAAGGTGGGTTTTGCATTGTCCCACACATAGTCTGCTGATGGCCGTGGGATGGCAAAGTCATCTTCATTAGACGGAATTTAATAGTGAATCAAAGTTCTTGTGGAGAATAGACTGATCTAAACTTTAGCCTCCCTTGGGTCCTGCTGAAAGATTAGAGGGAAAGAGTAGGGCCTTAGTAACTTGAATGTATCAGATTGTTTTTCACTAATAGTTCTCTTGTAAAACTCTGAAAAACACCCAGTTTAACCCTTTAAAAATGGAGAGAGAGAAAGGGGTACGATGGGGGAGGGAAAACAACTCAGGTAGTATACCACGGGCATTGATTTCATTGATTTTTGAGATGTGCTGTTATCCCTGTAGCAAGTTTCACAGATTTGAGTACGTACGCATGACCAAAATTTGTTGATCACAAATAAAACAGTTTTCCTGCTACAAATAATCATCTATACCAGCTGCCACCATGCTACAGCTTTCATAAAGAATTTATAAAATCAAGTTACCTTTTAGTCTTGCTTTTGGTTTTGTTCTATGATGGGAGAGTCTAAAACTCAATCTAAGGATGCAGTCCTTTGATAAAATCTTCTCAAAAATATTAGGAATCTAGGAAGAGTTAATGGCAGGAGAAAACGGAGGAGCAGCACAGGTAAAATGCATCAACCAGACCTGTACAGCAGGATCAGACATAGTTAACAAGAAAAAAGAAAGGAGAAACAAATGTGTTAGGTGATCTTTAGTCTAAAGAAATCTCTGTTGGGCAACTGGGCATTTTGCTCCTTGCCTTTGATTTCCAACTTCCTTTCAAAGAATTCGTTAAGTGAAAAGAGAGATGATGGCAGCTCAGTATATCAAAGCTCAGTTATCAGTTGGCTTATTCTAGTATCTTTAGTCTTTTGTGGATGCCTTATGATGTGTTGTGTGGTAACACTGGAAAGTCAATCTTATACCAGCGATTGCCACATAAACGTTAAGGAATCCAAAAAAAAATCACAAAATAGAAATTGTTACTCTCTCAGGTATAAAGTGGCACTGATAAGAATTAATGTATCCAAAAAGATTTGGGTGGGTTTCTTTTCCCTTTTGGGGGAAGAGAGTGGACAAGGGATTGATTGGATTTTTTTTAGGAGGGTGAGAAGGAAGCTGTAAGAGAAGGAAAAGGTATCCTGCAGACTTTTCCATGATCAGCTCTTTAGTATTGGCTGTGAATATGTTGTCCAAGTTAATGACCAAAAACAAATAAATAAAAAACTTACTACCACTACAAGGAAATCTGTTTCTCTTTATGTAATATTTTTGTTCTTAAAAATTCATAGGAACCATAAAAAAATAAGTCTCATTTTAAAATCAAAGTAAACCGCCTTTTAGGGGCTAAATGCCTAATAGAAAGACTTTAGAAACTCTGGAAAGATAATGTACTAGTCCAGGCCTCCCTAGTCAGACACCCCACTCTGGGATCTTGAAAAGAGTGGAATGAAAGTACTATTCTCAGAGCTGTGGGCAAGATTTAAGGAACACAAAGAGATGAATCAAGGAGAGACTAGCTGGAGCAGGAATACGATTACCCCTGAGGCTACTGGGCAAGTGGAGGAAGCAGTGTTTCCGGGGCAAGTGGAGGAAGCAGTGTTTCCGGACCAAGTGAGAGCTCCACCATGTGAGAAGGCACAACTGCAGAGCTAAAGGCAGAGGAAACAGGGAAGAAACATCAGAAAGGAATACCTCTTTCTCCTCCCATCTGCTTATTTCCTGCCATGCCTCCCAGAGCCAAACCCTACCAAAGGTCAGAATAAACTTACGCTGTCTTCACAAATAGGCGCTGTCTCTTTCACAGGCCTAAGGCACAGATCAGAGCAAAAACAGAAAGAAAATTAATGATGGAGTTTCCAAACGCAGAACATCCAATCAAAACAGTGAAAGATAAATAATTTCCTATCCAGAGGAGGAGAAGAATAATGCAGCTGCCTGAGTCCCAGACTTCAATACATGAATGTATGAGGAGTCAATTTCCTGTAACTAAGATTTTATTCCTGACTGTAGCCTCAGTAATGCTCTCTTAACTGTGATGGATCACAGGTTTAATACAATTCACCATTACGAAAAATGTTTTAGAAAGGGAATGCAAAATAAAAAAGAGATTTAAGATTTTATTTATGGGCTACTTGACCCATAACATTGACAGGTATAAACTGTTTTATTCTATTTAACCACACTGATTCTTATTTTTATTTGATATATCTATATGAGGTACTGTATTTATTTTATTATATCTGTATGAGATAGTATGATACATTTTCTTCAAAATCACTTTTATCTACTCCTTGGAATGTTTCAAAACTGGAGAGCGTTATATACTGATTTTAATCTGAAAATCTCTTAGCAGGGCAGAACACATTGCAATGAAATTAACATTTATGTGAAATGTTTCCCTAGGGTAAAGAACATAAATCATGCATTATAACACTTTAGAGCTGAAAGGGACTTTAAAGATCAATTCTAAAACCATTATTTTACAAATGAGGACAAAAACCTAGAGATAGTTGTAGTTTTCCCATAGCAACACATTGTTGGTTTAGAGCAAAGTTAAGACCAGAACTTGGGTTTCCTTACTCTCCATCTGGTTTCCCACCTTTCAGTGGTGTAGTTCCCACTTACATTCCTGTTACATAGAAGTACCAATTATGTTTCAAGGAAATAATAAATTCCCTTCTAAAATTGCCAGTACAAAAGTGTACTGAAAAGGTGTTAACAATCACTTTAATATTTCTCAACTAAAGTTGAAAGACACTGTATGGGATAGAAAGCAGCACCCTCACGGACATGTCAGAAGCTCTTGGACTGCCTGTACTCAGCATCTCTCTGCGGATGAGGACCCTTGGATCAAAGCCCATTGGCCAACTGTGCATTCAGACCTTCAGGCTCTCTTGGCCTGAAGTTTTCTCCTACAAACTCAGTTTATTTTGAAAAACCTACAAAAAAAATTTACATACATGTGTTATTTTTTTTCAACACCTGAAAGAAATTTTCAGGATTCATAGGGAGTTTCCTGAATGTAAATCAACTTATTTGACCTTTGATTCTGTCTTATCCTTTCACTGTCAACCTTTCACTTAATCTTATCAATCACTATTCCTATTTCCTTTTAAAAAATGTCTGCAGTTTTTAATCCATGCTATCTTACTTTATTGTACTTCCTTGCAGTAAGCAAGGAACAAGAAAGTATAAACAGAGGGCCCAATCTTCCAGGCAGCTGTATGCTTGCTGTGTGCTTACAGATAGGTCACTGAAAGTCCATGCAAATTAGGGCACTTTGCTGAGCCACAGAATTTCATCTGGAGTAGCAGGTGTGTTGTAGAACTATAAATGACTTAGTTTGAATGATGGCTGTTGATGCTTCTCTGTGCTTTATTCTTGCTGTTCACCGAATGGGTCATGTTATTGACATCTGAACTGTACAAAAATGGTCGTGGAAACCTCCCATGTCTAATGTTCCACTAGAAGCGGCATTGATCTTAGGACAGAAGATCACCAACTGTTCTGTTTCCAGTACTCTCAAAATAAAGATTTGCACATTTTATTAATAAAACAATGATTTAAAGAACATTGCTATTTGGCGTCTGGTAATAAAATCTTGGAAAGTTTTAATTTTCTACTATAGGAGATTATAAAATTAAGATAAATTAATGTGTATTAAAGCAGGGAAACTTTGGCAGGTAGTTAAATAAACATATCTGTAGTTAATATTACATTTACAAAAATATTACATTTTTGAAAATACCCATAAAATCCATAAAGATTTTAAGAGTGAAATATACATACATCTTTCTAGACTATTTGCTAGACTAGTCTAGCTTTCTAGACTTTTTGCTTTTTATAAGATAGAAGGTTGGAAAATCTGTAGATCCCAAATGCTTATCTGTGGACTTAATGTCAGTCTCTGGCAAAGATTTAACCAGACTATATTGAAAAGCAAAAACTAATATTGAGAACAATGTAAAGGGTATGTTTGGGTGTATGAGTGCATGTGTGTGTATGTGTGTGTGTGTGTTTGAGAGACAGAGGGAGAGAGGTATCTGTAAAATTGTCAACTGTTCTTTCAT
Source organism: Homo sapiens (assembly GCF_000001405.40). Taxonomy (NCBI): domain Eukaryota; kingdom Metazoa; phylum Chordata; class Mammalia; order Primates; family Hominidae; genus Homo; species Homo sapiens. The sequence continues at coordinate 93,984,133 of NC_000004.12, forward strand.
GCGGATGGCCCTAATTTCCTCTGGAATTTTGCCAATATTACTCTTGGGGAATTAAATGATTGTAGTAATAAATTGTAGCTAACTGTTTTAATGTCCTTACTTAACAGAGAGTACTCAGCAAAAGCCATGTTGGTACCCTCCCAATTTTTTTAAATTTAGTTTACTGATCTGTGAAATGTACACATCTGGTGTCATGAACTGAAAGTCTGTGAGCTCCCCAAATTCATATGTTGAAGCCCTAATCTCCAAATACAATAGTATTTGGAAGTAAGGCCTTTGGGAAGTCATTAGTTCATGAGAATAGGCCCTCATAAAAGGGATTAGTTCCCTTATAAGAAGGGATGTGAGGCCGGGCACGATGGCTCAAGCCTGTAATCCCAGCACTTTGGGAGGCCAAGGCGGGGGTATCACTTGAGGTCAGGATTTTGAGACCAGCCTGATCTACATGGTGAAACCCCATCTCTACTAAAAATACAAAAAAAAAAAAAAAAAACCAGCTGAGAGTGGTGGCACAGGCCTGTAATCCCAGCTACTGGGGAGGCTGAGGCAGGAGAAGGTTGTCATGAGCCAAGATCACGCCACTGCACTTCAGCCTGGGGGACAGAGTGAGACTCTGTCGAAAAAAAAAAAAAAGAAGGAAGGAAGGAAGGAAAGAAGGTAGTAAGAAGGAAAGAAAGAAAGGGAAAGAAAGAAAGCAAGCAAGAAAGCAAGCAAGAAAGAAAGAAAGAGAAAGAAAGAAAGAAAGAAAAAGAAAGAGAAGGAAGGAAGGAAGGAAGGAAGGAAGGAAGGAAGGAAGGAAAGAAAGAAAGAAAGAAAGAAAGAAAGAAAGAAAGAAAGAAAGAAAGAAAGAGAAAGAAAGAAAGAGAAAGAAAGAAAGATGTGAAACAGGTGATCCCTCCCACGTGAAGGCACAGCAAGAAGGCAGCCATTAACAAGCCAGAAAGAGAACCCTCACCAGACACTGAGTCTGCCAGCACCTTGATCTTGGGCTTCCCAGCCTCAAGAACTATAGGAAATAAATGTCTGCTGTTAAGCCACCCAGTCTAAGGTATTTGTTGTAGCAGCCCAAGCTAAGACATGTAGGAAGGTTCTTATGAGCTCCATGATGTGAAAGCCAGCTCTGCAGAAGTGCTAGACAGTAAAATGAAACTGAATTACTCTCAATCTGATTTGTCACAACTATTATTACGAATTCCAAATACTGTAGCCAACAAGGGGATACCAGTTCCTACCAACCCAAAAGTGAATTACAACTTTCAATTCTGTTTAAAAATACTCATATGAAAAAAATACTCATACCTAGCTGAATTTTCCTCATTGTTCTCACTCTTATTTCATTACCTTTGTTAACTTTCTCTTTATTCCTCAACAAGCCCTCTCAGCTGTCTTTTCTAGCAAATATTGAAAATGAAATTTTCCAAATGATTTCAAATCAGTACGCATTGATTGTATTTATACTACCCAACAGAACAATGCTTGACAACTTTAAATGGTTATCCCCAAATCTCTTGCATGAGATAATTAAAACCAATGGGAGAAGTTAACAACTCAGGGAAGCAGATGTATGAGACAAGAAAATAGCTTTGCCAATTATTAGGGGAAAAAAGAACTGAAGCTGAATATAAAGAATTATCTCCAGTTTCCCAATCTGCTTAACAAAAAATAAGCTTTAGCCTTTTTACATAAACACTGATATTCATTTATATAAAATTATTTCAGAATGAAGAGAAGTGCAAGAAGCTCTAGTCTGAGAGTCGATCTGCTAGCACCTAAACAGAGGAGTAAAGACTTGGACTGGGTTAATTATTTGGACTGGATGCTCTTACAAATATATTCTGTATTCTTCTCTGAGTCCTTGGATACCTTAAACAGGACCAGGGCTAAGATGAGGCAAATGCTGTATGGCCCCATGTTAAAAGGGACACTCACTCACCTCGTCCTTCTGGTGCAAGGCTGGCATTTGTGAGGCCTTGCTTCCTTAAGTTGTACACTCTAGATGCCTTGTCTGCTTCATCCTACTCCTGGCCCTACAATAATACATTAGTCCATACACTAATAAATTTGAAAGACCAACAGAAGCGGGTGGTGGTAAGATTTCTCTCTGTTATACATAAAGGAAAGGGAAGAATGACTTTGGAAGTGGTGCCTGGTGAAGAATGGGAGGACCTTCCCCACTTGTCGGTGAGGGAGAAAGTAAAAAGAAGCTATAGACTTCATAAATGTCAATATGTACACAAACTACCTTTTAAAAAATGACTCAAAAGATGCTAGTTTTAGAAAATATGTCCTTCTCAACCCTACACCCACCACCTTTAAGAATTGTTCATCCACAATCAGCAAGTCCCCTCTAGCTTACTGTCTGTGCATTTTCTGAACTTCTTTGCTTGAACTGAAGCACTTCCCCTTTAACATATTCTTGTGTTAGTCTGTTTTTTTTTTCTTAAAAACATATTTTAAGATGTGGTCAAAAACCAAAGATTTTCTTAGGGATAATGCTTGTACTATGGTTTGAATATGGTATGTCCCCACCAAAACTCATGCTGAGGCTTGGTCCCCAATGTGGCAGTGTTGGGAGGTGGTGCCATTAGGAGATTAGGTCATTAAGATGAATTAATGTATTTCTCAAGAATCTGGGTTAGTTCTCAAAAGTTGTTATAAAGTGAGCTTGCCTCTCATGCTTTACCCTTTCTGCATATACCAACTTCCATGTCCATTTTTTCTGCCGTGATATGAAGAAGCACAAGGTCCTCACTAGATGCTGCCTGGTCTTGAACTTCCCAGCCTCCAGAACCCTAAACTAAATAAACCTCTTTTCTTTATAAATTATCCAGTCTCAGGTATTTTATTATAGCAACAGAAAACAGACCTAAATAGCTTGTATGAGAGAAAATGAAGAGGGATCCAGCAAAGGCTAGGAGAGCCATGATACTGTGCTGCAAGTCTGACACAGAGTGGAGGAGACAGAAGGGGAGGGTTGGAATGGAAGCATACAAGACTGTTGTACAGACCAAGGTGGGGTTAACAAGGCCATCAGCAAGTCCTTGAACCAAAATTAGCCATCATGGTAGGCCCATGTCTCTCTTAAGTTGTCTTGCCTTAGTATTTCTGCTGCACTCCATCAGCGCTGGGGGCAGCCTATAGGAAGCCTGGCCTTGATGCCAGAGCCCAGTAGCTCAGACCCTTGGTTAATTAATCTGCCAGCAGTTGGGGTCTGCAAGGCACATTCTCATAGCCACCACAACTCTGATTGTGGCTTTTTAATCTCTTAAATCCCTCACACCTCATAATTAGGACTGGTGTCCCCTACTTCCCTGATACAACTTTTAGACCATCACTCCTCTATTTTCTTTTTAAGAACAATATAAAACCCATGAGCTAATCAAAGCAAACAAAACCCAGTAGCTTTCAGATTCATGCCATTCAGCCTGTCTGTCTTCTGAGCACTCCTCATCCACTGAAGACTTTGATAGCTGGCTACTGTCTTCCTCACTCTAATCCTTTCCGATATACAAGGTAAATTCAATCCCTGGACCTCTCAGTCCCTCAACTTCTCCATCCTTTATGACCTTTTCCTTTACCCTCACTTCTATGCACATCAGATCCTCCTGACATATACTTCACAGCATCTATGTGGCTAATTCAGAGCTCGATCAAGTTTTGAAAGTATATGTTTATCTATATTACCATTTGATTACTATCTGATTACTATCTTCTCTCTATCATTAGATTATAAGTTCCATGATGAGTAGTTAGGTCTGTTTTACTCAACCCATTTATTCTCAGCACCTACAAGGTAGCCAGCAATAGTAAATATTCAACATATATTTTGTGCATAATGAAATGATTACTTAACTAAGTAAATGAATGAATGATTTGATTGAATTGGATTGAGTTGAATTGAATAGAGATATATGAATAGATGCCATTGCCAAGGCTTATGTTTGTCTACATTTGAAGCATATATCAATGTAATTAAAAACTTCTGAAGAATTAAAACTTTTCTTCATTATTTTTATCCTATAACAAAATTCATCATTAAAAAATTATGCTTAATGTTATAATCTAACTCACTTTTGAACATGTTTTTCATTTTATATTAAACTGTAAACTTTTTTTTTTTTAAAAAAAAAGACAGGGTCTTGCTGTGTCACCAGGCTGTAGTGCAGTGGTATGATCATAGCTCACTGCAACGTCGAACTCCTGGGCTCAAGGGATCCTCCTACCTCAGACTACTGAGTAGCTGGGACCACAGGCACCACCACATCTGATAACCATTTTTGTTTGTTTTTGATAGAGATGGAGTCTCGCTATGTTGCCCAGGCTGGTCTAGAACTCCTGGCCTCAAGCAATTCTCCAGTCTAGGCCTCTTAAAGTACTGGGACTATAGGCATAGCCACCATGCCCAAACTGAACTGTAAACTTCTTGACCTTTTCAATTCATTTGAGGCTTCCTTGAAGTTCATAACACAGACTCTTGCACATAATAAAATTACATATTACATTAATGTAGCAATGCATTAATTTAACTACTCTAAAATCTGATATTTTGTTCTGCCCAATAAAATTAACCATTTGTCTGGTTTCTTTTTATTATTTATTTTCACCGAGAGACATCGTGAGATTGACTTTTACTTATATTTTAGGATTTTATCTTTGTAATAAGACTTTTATAGACTATTTTTTTCTAATTTTCTTTCCTTACTTTTTTGTTTGTCTATGTTATTATGCTTCTATTTATTTTTCATGCTTATTTAATTTTTAGGATTTAAATACAATTAAGTCTAAAGATTTAAATGTAGATTTTTTTTGTTGCTGCTTTAGGAGATTTTCTTTAAAGGGGTGGGGTGAGCAGGGCACTACTAAAAGGAATATACTATAATTAGTTTTTCATATTTAATCTACATTTTATGTCTCTCTTCATTTAAAATGTTATTATGAAATAATACTTTGTGATTTTCTGAAAATTGGAAGAAAAATCTAGTTGCAGCAACTTTGATTTTCTAAGTTTTTTTAGTCAATTGTATTTTTCAGATTTCTTATTAGTTAGATTAAGGTAATTCAAGATGTTATTCTTCTGCTTTTAGTTCTATGTACTTAGTTTTCAATATGGTGTAGCACAGATGAATGGGAAAGGAAAAGATTTTTTAGAAAAATTGGCATAAGGCATAAAATCTTTTCCTTTCCCATTCATCTGTGCTATACCATATTGAAAACTAAGAACAAACATTTTTTAGAAAATTTGCTGATGGCCAATAAAATTTATGTCAATTTTATGAGGTATTCATAAATTACCTCAATTTACCAGTGGCTTTCACCATACATCCAAATTGGTTTATTATGTATTATCAGTTCATTCTTTTTCTAAAACAACTTATTTTTACTATTCTATATGATGCTATTTTCTTAACTTTTTTAGTTTACCTTGATAAAATTGTTGTTTAAAAAGTAAGATGAAATGACAGGCAAATCATGTTAACCAGCACAAAGCAGCATCTCACAAAAGACACACAAACCTGCACAAAACCAACCTGAATCCATTCATCTGAAAGAAGAGAGACAGTCAAAGTACCGGATGCAAGAAATCTAGCAGGCAACAAGAATCTAGCACAATTAAAAATATAGCAGAGAAAGAGCATGCAATTGGCTGTAACTTACCATCTTTCTATAGAAGAATTACTTTGAATTCCAATCAAGACAGCTCTGTCTTACAGACGGGGAGCAATTTTGAAGGGTGGGCTCATGGGAGTATTACTAATTCTCTAACTTACAATAGCAGACCTCAATGTGCTAACCCTTCACAATACACAGTTCTAACTAAGCTGTAGTAAATTTACTTACTGTGTTTCAGGTTGATTAAAATAAGTTTGCAGGAGCAATTTTCCTGAAATTCTAGCTAGCCTAAAGCAAAAAGAAAATTCTAATTTGTCATTTACCTTATCTACTGAGCAGGAACCAAGGCCAATTATAGATTTGTCATAGTGCTCAGTGCATTGATTATACTCCACAAAGCCAAATACCAAATATCTTTTAAATTATTCCACATAAGAAATATTGTTCATATGCACCAGATTTCATTGAAAAGAAATAAGGCAGTTTTTTTTCTTCACATATAAATCAGTAAATATTTACTAAATACTTATGATGTAGAGAACATTTTGGTAACTGTTGAATTTAAGTTAGAGGTAGGAAATATTTATAGTTTTTCATTGTACCTTTAAAATATTTTTATCCTGAATATTTTTGTCAGTTAAACATAGCCTGTTATTTTTTCAAAACATTATTTATCTTGTAAACAGTTTCTTATATAAAAATAAAATATATTCTTCTTATAACTGATCTAATGAAAACCTGTGATATCTTTTCCTTTCTCCTAAAGAAAAACTTTTGGAGAAGATACACTTTTTTTATTCTGGAGATATTCATTCATACCATGTTCTAGTTGGTTGTCTGATTTTAAGTATTTGACTGTGTCAAAGTCACAAGTAAATTTACTAAATGGTACTCTGCTGGCTATTTCCTTCTTAAAGTGTGTCAGTAGAAGTCCAATCAATCAGGTAAATATCTAGGAAAGCAGAAACTGCTCTAGATATTTCAATCAGAAAAGTCAAGTAACTTTTAGAAAAAATAGTTCAGAGGCTGCTGCAAAACCTCATATCTATGGAAGCACACATGTCTGCCTGCTGCTGCCAGAGAAAGAAAAACACAGCTTCCACTTCCCTTTCACTTTGCAGATCTTGACACGAATGCATCCCCTAGCAGGATCGGACCCAGAGCATAACTGGCAGGGATTGTCGGAATGTACTTCCCAAAGGTCCTGTCACCCTCATACAAAGGTGAAGATAAAAGAGGGGAAATGATGCTAAATTGTGAACAGATAATGTATAGAGAGAAAATGTGGGAATGAAGCAAATTCTTTTTCAGTGGTATTGGCCAAAGAGTTTTAAGCTGTGATTTAACAGCCCATTTTACAATTATTGAAGTGAATGATAGTTATAATCTACCCTCAGTTATCCATTTAAGGGATTTTGCACTTTGATCCTCCTATTTTATTTCCTTGACCACTTGGATAGAAAGTTTAAATTTCAATAACTTAACAGTAAAAACCATACTTTAACCATATATGAAATTACTTTTTTTTATATATACACACATGCTGTGGATTTAATTGCTCAAGATTTAGCCCCATCTTCATACAAGTAACAGTTGGTCAGATTTCCTTTCTTTATCTTTTATAATTTCTTTCTTATTACATGTATTTATCTTCTTTCCAAATAAGAGGGTAAGAGGAAAAGGAGATATAACTGGTTTAAAATTAAAACTACAGAACAAAATGCAATTAAGTCAGGCCCACCAGCTATTGTGAGCCATAAAAGGAGCTTCACTTGTATTTCACTCAGTCTTCACAACACCTCTGTGGGTTTTGCTTCCTAAATAAATAGACTCAAAAATTACTAAGGTATAGATAAAAATCAAATAATAAAGAAAGACAAGAATTATTAGATCAGAAACCCAGATTCAGGAAAGTATCCCAAGTAATCACAAAACCTGTGTGTGAGCTTCTGAGCACCTAAGGCACATGAATGAAGGATGCATTGATGAAAGCCTCAGGATGTCAAGGTAGGGGAGGAACTTTCTCATGTTTTACTAATACATGTTTGAGCTAGGCACGGTAGCTCACGCCTGTAATTCCAGCATTTTGGGAGGCTGAGGCAGCAGCTCACTTGACGTCAGGAGTTCAAGACCAGCCTGGCCAACATGGTGAAAGCCCGTCTCTGCTAAAAACACAAAAATTAGCCAGGTGTGGTGGCGTGTGCCTGTAATCCCAGCTACTTGAGAGGCTGAGGCAGGAGAATCCTTGAACCCAGGAGGCGGAAGTTGTAGTGAGCCAAGATTGCACCACTACACTCTAGCCTTGGCACAGACAGACTCTTTCTCAAAAAAAAAAAAAAAAGGAATGCAATGTTTGGCAGAATATATTAAACAAAAAATGGAAAGACATAAAGCAGGGGTTAAAGCCGCCAGGATTCTTGTCCTCTTTCCCCTCGTGATGAAGGTCAAGTTAATTCATTAAATTTAACTCCACAAACATGTTTTGAGAACTTACTAAGTACAGGGTATTGTGCTGGAAGTCACTGTGTGAGTTGCAAAAATGGGCCCTGCCCTCCAAGCATTCACAACTTTTGGGGCAGCAAGATGAAAATACAATCAATATAACTCAAGGCACATTGTGTGCAACTAACAAGCGGTAGAGGAAAAATTAGAGCAGGAGAAATTCCTATGAATTGATGAGTGACTAAAAAAAGCTGTGAGGGGAAAGTGCTATTTGAGGTTTAAGGATTTAAGCAACAGGCATGACCAAAAGGGGGGCCAGTGTGAATAAAGTGAAGAGGTTGAAGAACTTGAAGGAATTAGACTGGAGACAGATGCCACGATCTCAGATTCCAACAGTAATGAAAAGGAATGAAGTCGCCCACGTGAGGACTGTGGCCAACAGAAGAGTGCACAAGCCATCTAAGGAGACATCCTTTGTGAGAATGCTGGCTCAGTGTTATCCAGAGCTCCCTAAAGAAGGTGGAAATCCATATTCTAAGATAAAACTTCAATTTTTAAATGCTAGCACCCGATTTAAGAAAAAGAAAACTTAAGCTTTGTATGGATCAAATAAAAGACATATATGCCCATATATGGCCCAACGGCTATCCATTTGCAACCTCCGGGTCTGATGTGCTCTAAGATTCCATCCAACTAAGGAGTTCTAGTTTTAATCATGAACCTCGTTCTCGTTGAGCAATATATATTCATTAAAAATTATACATATTAAGCAAAACCACAGAAAGTTTCTTTCAGTAAATTGTGTCTTTGATTTTCTTCATAAATTATTGTAGAGCTCTTAGGACTTTCACTTGTAAAAGGCCCAGATTGAAGAGAGGAAATAACAAGAAGGGGAAAATGGAAAGAAGATAATCAGACATGCAAATACAATAGACATTTGCCAGTATAACTAACATTTATCAATCCCTACGGATTGAAGACTGCTGATTTTGTTTGTTTTTACTAGCTGGGGAGAAAATAATAAAAAAGTTTTTGTAGCAGAGGAAATGTTGACCTTTCCAGAACAATAATTATATAATTATTAGGCTACCTTAGAAGAATATACTCAATGATAGCCGGGCACAGTGGCTCACACCTGTAATCCCAGTACTTTGGGAGGCTGAGGCGGGCAGATCACCTGAGGTAAGGAGTTCGAGACTAGCTTGGCCAACATGATGAAACCCTGTCTCTGCTAAAAATACAAAAAAATGGCCAGGCGCAGTGGCTCCCACCTGTAATCCCAGCACTTTGGGAGGCCAAGGCAGGCAGATCACGAAGTCAGGAGATCAAGACCATCCTGGCTAACACAGTGAAACCCCATCTCTAATAAAAATACAAAAAAATTAGCCAGGCATGGTGGCAAGCGCCTGTAGTCCCAGCTACTCGGGAGGCTGAGGCAGGAGAATGGCGTGAACCCAGGAGGGGGAGCTTGCAGTGAGCTGAGATGGCGCCACTGCACTCCAGCCTGGGCGACAGAGTGGGACTCTGTCTCAAAAAAATATATATACAAATAATAATAATACAAAAAAATTAGCTGGGCATGGTGGCACACGCCTGTAGTTCCAGCTACTCAAGTGGCTGAGGCAGGAGAATTGCTTGAACCCAATCCAGACGTGGAGGTTGCAGCGAACCTAGATCACGCCACTGAACTCCAGCCTGGGCGACAGAGCGAGACTCTGTCTCGAAAAAAAAAAAAAAAAGAATATACTCAATGCATGTGGTTATTTAAAATCCAGTCTACTGTAGCATAGTAAATACCTCCTTACATTATGGATATTCTTTATTATCTCAAAATTTTTGATCAACTAGTAATTGTTCCAAAACTGTGATCATATCCTTTAAAATAAAAGGAAAAAAGAATAATCAGAGGGCACATGCCAAGAAGTAAAACGAATGCATAAAACATAGCTTTAGGGCTACTTTGCTTCACCAGCAGTTTTAAACAATGAGTTGAATGCTGCTCCAGTGAAAAATACTAGATTTTTTTCTAAGAAATTTAACAAAAGAAGCAAATAATAACTTAAGCCATTACATAAAGAACGTTTCCATTTTCAGTGAAACAGCCCAATCATCTTTGCTAATACTTCTGGTCACCTAGGTCTTACCTTGTGATCTACCACCAGGGGAAATTACATTTACCTGAGTTTCAGGGCAGGCCAGGGCTCCTCAGGAGACTCTTTTAATAGTGTTGTTATGTAGTCTTAGTAAACAGTTCAAACTAGAACTTGGGTAGATTTTTGAGTTGAGGTTTCCCCAGTAGTGATACCTTTTCAATAACATAGTAGAGTATCTAATGGAATATAAAGAAAAAGATTAACAATAAAACCGACAGTTTCAGAAAAAATACCCACTCGACAATGTTCTCTTTGCTTATGAGTTACCGCTCCACAGAACAAGCTCTATAGAGTGTATGTAAGCATACATACTTTCAGTTTCAGAACAAAGAATAAAAATATAAAAAGGTAAAAATGAAAATGTGTGCTATTCTGCTGCAATGTAACTGAGAGTTATAAAGGCCCTGTGAACAATATTGAGTTTGCAGTAGCACAATCATATCACGAAAGATTTACCTTCACTCTGCAAACTCAATATAGGGCAATAACAGTCTATTACAAGCTGAGCAATACAACATCAAAGGAATGTTTAAAAGAACTAGACAGAACCTTTAAATCAACACAATTGAGTTATCTTCCCCCAAAGGAAGCACCATGAGAGAGCTCATAGCAGGATTTTTCAAGAGGTATTACTAATTTACCATAAGTTATATTTAATACACTTTTAAAATGTAGTTTGTAATCTCTCTTTACTTTTTAGAACACAGAGCAATAAATTAAAAGAGAAACAATCCCCAAAGAGCAAGAGACTGGGAGGAACAAAAATGACAATAGTTTTATTCTTTGGGGGCTGACACTTCAAATAATTCTCCCACAACTGAAAAGGCTCTCCTTTCCTGATTTCAGCAAAGATCTCCCCTTCCCCAATATCAATAAAATTCTTCAAATATGTATCTGGAAGAATAACGTCAAAATATAAAATTAATCAATATTAAAATCCTGTTAAAAAGAGCAAGACATCATAAAATTTTAGAAAAAATGGTAAGAAAGTCTCTTAGTACCTTCCATAGAAAAGTAAACAATTTTATTCCGCCTTCTTGTAATTAAAATGAACCTTTGAGAGGTTGAGATTCTTATCCAGGCTGTGTCAGAAATGGTAGTAGCATTTATTTTGGGATGGTACTGTTCATTGTTGGCAACTCTTAGACATTTTCTTAGCATTTTACTATTTCCCCATACATTTTCATTTTTAATTTATTTAATATTTAAGAGTATGTTTAGTTTAATTAAGTGTTGAGGCAAGATGTTACGCTTCTACATACATAGCAAAGACTTTGTTGTTATAAATTTTAGTCTAAATTCACATGTTTGCATTTCTTGTGAAGCAGAACTATTGAACATTACTAAATTATTCATCATCTATTAATGTCTGATATTTGTACACATAGTGATAAATTTCTATATGACACTTATAGAACCACTCCTCCAATTATTTGCAAAGTTATACTTTTTCATTTTTGTGTAGCATTTTTGTTTTGACTTAGCTATCCTAATACCAGAAATGTATGCAAAAGGTTTTAAATTCTAGATAAATTGTATTTATAATGGCTTTTCTATACATGAATTTTCTGCTTTAGTGATGAAAACACACCCACAACAGGTGCGTGAAACTGCCTGCAACACATGGCAAATGGGGGAAGTACTAGGGTTTGTCCCTTTTGATATAGAATGGTTTTATTGGTGTCACACAGTAAGATTTTATAATAAATCAGATTGTACATGGATTTATACTTATGTATCTGATGTTAGAAAATATTTAATTCATGTTTATAATGCTTTTAATTTTATAACCAGCTTCCGAAATTTCTTTACAATTGACCTTTATGACAAGTCTATTTTATTTGAAATTGCCCATTACCAGGTATTTTTTTTTCAGATATTTGAACTGTATTTTTGTTTCTCTTTTTTAAAGCCTGCTCTTTTTTTTAAGTCCATTCAACTTCTTCATGCTAATATTGTGATTTTAAAGGCAGCATTCTGATTCATATTTTTTATAATCTTGGCTGGGCAATAGAAAACTAATTCCATCAGTTATTACATACTTTTGATAAGTTTCTCTGGAGTTCCATTATTTGAAACATTGCTGTGAATATCATAGAATTTTTATGTTTAATATTATGTGATTAAAATATGTGTTGACAACACATGTTGACAGATATATCAAGGTTTGCTTGTTTATAATTGTCGTAAGTAGTTCATGCAAATCACAACTGAGAATTGTAATTTTGTTTCCTTTTCATTCAACTTAAGTTAATAATTCTATCACTAATATCAAATGTTCAACAAGCTGCATATCATGTGCAGCTCTAATCTCCTAAAAACACTATACTGATGTTTGTTTAATGCCTGATGTAAACAAGTTTACATATTTTAACAGTGGTTAAAAAAATACATATGTTGTAGTCAAACCTGGATTTGAATTACTATTCAGCTATAACAATTGTATGATTATGCCTCAGTTTTTCTTTTATGAAACAGAGATAGCAATGATAATTATAGGATTGCTGTAGGGATTAAATTAGATATTACTTATAAAATTTCTAGCACTATGGCACATAGTATTCAAGAAATGTTGGCTGTTCTCATTGAAAAAATATGTTCAGAAATGCTCTGATGGCTTCTAATCAGTGTCATGAACATTATAAAGTTTTACCCAACCACAGAATCCACTGGCTGTGATAAAATAAGTTTGTTGACTCTTGTGCAGAGATTATGGAACCAACACCTGTTGCCTAACAGTAGTGGGACTCATACCAAATATCAATGAATGAGTAACTGCCCTAAACAGCTATCACAGCCATAAGGCAGTTGGTTCTATAGTCTAGACCTGTTTAAGAGTTGAATCAAGTCACCTGCTGACTATAATAGCCATCAGGAGGGTAATACAAAATTTTATCTTAGTGATTATCTGTTATAACATGACGTGATATATATATTGCCTTCCAAGTTCTTGCTTGAAGGACATTTTAGCAATGATACCTGGGAGTGATTCAGAGTTAGGGATTATATTAGGGTTCTCCAGAGAAACACAACCAATAGGAGAGACAGAGAGAGAGAGAGAAAGAGAGTGGGGGGTATAGATAGAAGAGAGATAACAAAAAGAAAATGAAATGTATTATAAGGAATTGGCTCACACAAATATGGATAATGAAAAGTCTTATAATCTGCTGTGTGCAAGCTAGAGACCCAGGAAAGCTGGCGAGGTACTCCAAAGGCCTGAGAGCCATGAGCACTGAAAGCAGAAGAGCAATGTTCCAGCTCAAGTAGTTAGGCAGAGAACGAATTGAAGCTTTGTCTACCTTTTTGTTCTATTCAGGTTCTGAACAGATTCAATGGTGCTGACCTACATTGGTGGGGGGCCATCAGCTTTACTCAGTTCACCAATTCAAATGCTAATATCTTCCAGAAACATTCTTATAGTCCCACTCAGACATAATGTTTTACCAGGTATCTGGATATCCCATAGCCCAGTCATTTTGACTCATGAAATTAACCATCACAGGGGTCAAGCACCATCAATTTTGACTATTTAAATCTTGGCCTGTAAAAAAAACTACTTATCAATGATACCTAGCTCATTAGTACTTTTAATTAAGTTGCAGAAGAGAATATGGCTATTATCAGAAAGAGAGATGATTTATGCAAAAATGTTTACCAGAAATTTCTTTTTTTTTTTTTTTTTTTTTTTTGAGACGGAGTCTCGCTCTGTCGCCCAGGCTGGTGCGCAGTAGTGCTGGGATTACAGGCGTGAGCCACTGTGCCCGGCCCAGAAATTTCTTAAAAATAGATTATACTCCTTCACTAATGAAGCTTAAAAGAAAAATAAATAAATAAATGTTTTATTAATTTGTTTCAACATTTAGTAGTAAATGGCCAACTTTACTCTTGAGTTCTATTTGAGAATACTGTGGCTCCTGTACTCGTAAGTCCCTAATGTCCTTAACCACTTCCCATAAAGTGGCAGAAATAGATCATCCTTTCATTATTTTCAAGTGGGCCTAGAAGCAATGTTCCCTCCTAGAACAACTCTAATCCTGTCAGTGGCACAGAAATAACTATACTGGTACACTCACAGTTTATTTAATGTATATTTATTGTGTTCATTTGTGATTGCATGCATTTATTTGGACTTAGTCTGAGTCTGTTTTTTTACTTCAAATTCTCCATAGACAGAATCTATATTTTCTACTTTCTTCCTCTTATTTCCTGGGTATTTGGCATAGTACTCTTCAAAAGCACTGAAGTACCGGTGAATAACAAAGGATAGAACTGTCTAAAATGCATTAAAGGATCAATGTATCGTTAATAACTGAAGAGGCTCATATTTTTACCTTTTTTTATTTTAATATGGATCAAAACCTTTAAAGATTGTTACTATGCTGACATGTTTTCAAATATTGCACAGAAAATATGAATAAGTAAATCAGTAAATTAATGATTGAGAACAGATATGAGATTTTCAGCATCCTTCTAAAAATCACAGGCAATCATTGAAAACTAATATGTTTAGTCATTAAGACTAACGGTCATGGCAGCACACACCTATAATCCCAGCTACTCATGAAGCTGAGGGGGCAGGACCACTTGAGCCCAGGAATTCAGGACCAGCCTGGGCAACATAGTGCGACCCAATCTAAAACAAAACAAAACAAAACTAATGGTCTTTTTGGCCTTCTCAAATATAAAACAAAATGTAAGCGTTACCTTACTTTATATCTAAATGGTAGCTGATAAACAGGATGAGATTCCCATTTACCGCCAATGTAGAGACTATGTTGATCATAAAACAAACGCAAGGATTTAAAACTTCAGTGAAATGTAGCCAATGGCTTCAAATAATTAATTCTGGATCTATTATCCTTGGATCTGAGAGATTCCTGAGATCCTGGATGTGTTAGAGGATTACTTCAATCATGGTATTCATCCATCTAAAGCCCTAACATTCATCAGGATCATACTAATCATTTGATGTAGTTTTGGGTGGGATGCCACAATTTTTTCAAATTACAGGCTGACTGACTAGTGAATCTCAGTCCACCCTTACTGCTCTAACAGTCTTAGTTGCTGACCATGAAGTGGCATTAAATGGCAGATGATAGACTATCCCATTTTCCACTCATGTTTTATCTACTCTCTCCTCCTTCTATCTCTCCTAAAGAAAATCTAGGCATTCTTCCAAATCTCGTTAAAATATCACCTCTTTTCTCAATTATTTCAGGAGTTATTTCCAAACATTACAGTTCACATGCCCATCATCTCCCTCACTCATTCAGCCATTTGTTCATCCAACAAATATTAATCATCTGCTACATAACAGGCACTGTTCTTGGCATTTGGTGTGAACCAAACAGATAAAATACCTCTGTCTTTGTAGTGCCTAATTTCTAATGGAAGAAAAATTAATTATTATTTTTATGGTCTCATATTAGTTTATTATTGCACTTGTCATGTTTATCATAGATAGTTGTTTACGTGTCTTGCTTGCTGGGTAGCAAGGACCAGATAACGTTTATCTTTTCGGTCTTTATCACCAGCACTCAGGACATTGCCTGGCACTGTCACATAGGGAAGAACCAAAACATACAGTTTGGAGCCCTTCTATTAAATTTATATTTGGTCAATATTTGTTTTGGTTACATCCTATGGCTTAAGAAACTAGCCCAAGGCCAGGTGTGGTAGCTCACTCCTGTAATCCAGCAATTTGGGAGCTGAAGACAGGAAGATTACTTGAGGCCAGGAGTTTGAGACCAGCTTGGGCAACGTAGCAAGACCCAACTATAAAAAAATTTTAAAAAAAATAGCCAGGTGACATGCACCTGGAGTTCTAGCTATTCAGGAGGCTAAGATAGGAGGATCACTTGAACCTAGACATTCAAGGCTACAGTGAGCTCTGATCACACCACTGTACTCCAGCCTGGGTGGCAGAGTGAGACCCTGTGGAAGGGAAGGGAAGGGAAGGCAAGGAAGAGAGGGAAGGGAGGGGAGGGGAGAAAAGAAAAGAAGAGAGAAGAGAAAACAAAAGAAAAGGAAAGAAAAGAAAGGAAAGGAAAAGAAAAGGAAAGGAAACTAGCTCAAAACTTAGTCACTTAAAGCAACACTTTTATTTTGCTCACAATTTTGTGGAACAGAAATTTGGAAAGGGCTCTGCAGGGCAGTTTATATCTGATCTATATGGTTTCTGTTATAGCTATGGTGGTTGGGGATGGAGAATCCTCTTCCAAGATGGCATCTATTTTTTCTAATAATTTCAATTTTTATTTTAGATTTCAGGGGGTATATGTGCAGGTTTGTTACTTGGGTATATTGTGTGAGGCTGAGGCTTGGTATAAGGTTGATTGATCCCATAACCCAGGTACTGAGCACAGTACTCAATAATTACTTTTCAACCCTTTCTCTCTCACTCCCTTTCCCCTCTAGTAGTCCCTAGTGCCTATTGTTGCCACAAGATGGCATATTTATTTACATTTTTTTGTACCTTGTAGCAACATGCTCTCTCTCTTCACATACGTTTTCATCCTGCAGAGCCTCTCCATGTGATTTGGGCTTCCACAACACAATAGTCTCAGGGTAGTCACTTTTTACATGGTAGATGGTTTTTGAAGAGGGAGAAACTGCTAGGCCACTCAAAGGCTATACCAGAAATGGCATAGCATCATTTCTCCCATACTCTAATGCTCAAAGCAGTCGTGAACACTGCCATATTTAAGAAGGTAGAGAAACACATACCACCTCTTGATAGGGGAGTGTCAGGTTGTTCAGAAGGACAGCGGAATGAGTAATATTCTTGCGGCCATCTGTCTTTGTCCACTTGTGCTGCTATCACAAAATATCTGAGACTGGGTAATTTATAAATAATAGAAATGTGTTTCTCACAGTTCTGCAGGCTGGGAAGTCCAAGATCAAGGTGACGGCAGATTCAGCATCTGGTGAGGACTCACCCTACTTCCAAGATGGTGCCTTATTGCTGGCTGCGTCCTCCAGAGGAAACAAGCACTGTGTCCTCACATGGTAGAAGGCATGGAAGGGCAAAAGAGCCTCGTTAGTTCCTTCCAGCCCTTGCATAAGTGTATTCTTGCTATTCTTGAGGGCAGAGCCTTCATATCCTAATCACCTCCCAAAGGTCCCACCCTTCTTATATCATCACCTTGGTGATCAGGGTTCAACATATGAATTTTGGAGGGATACATGCATTCAAACCATAGTACCATCTTTGAAAAACAGTCTCTGCCATAACACATGATAGCTTGGTAATATATTTAATTAGTCATAGTGTGTTTAGAGGAAGCACATCTGCACTGAAGTGCAATTTAAATTGTTATTAAACAAGAAACCTGTTCTACTTCAAAGATTTGATTTTAAAATGCTAAATAGGTGGTGATTAAAAACAATGAGCAAGCAAGAATCTGAAAACTTCTAATATCAATATTTTTAAAGACACACATCGAAATTATTAGACGGCATTTATCACATTTTTAAAACTTAAAATATTTGATGTCTAAATAGTGTCTATTCTAAAACCTACACAATTTTGATTTATCTGTTATATATTTCTCATTCACTTTTAATACAACTGTACAGTTATTGGTTAAGACTTTCCTTGATTCTTGGACTGATTTGAGAAACTTCCCCAAATCAATCCCAACAGGAATAAGAAGCCCATGCACGGGTCATCTTATTTTCTAGACTCTTTTCATAACATGGTATGTTATGTGCCTTGATTTCTCCCCCCTGATTTATAGTCCATTGGGGAACTCAACTATTTATTAAAGATCGTGTTTCCCAGGAAATGAGGGTTATGTATATTCAACTGTGGTTTTGTGAATGTATTTATATTTATGGTATTTTAATTTAGCTCATCAACTTTGCATTATGATTATATGGCAAATTGTTCATTGCTCTTTGTACTCTAATCATGTTATAGTGCATATAAGATTAATTGATACTGTACATTTAAAGTCAGTATCTATTTGCTTTTAGTAATCCAGGGTGGCATTTATAACTTTGTTATAATCTGAATTAGTATGAATTTATAATCTTAACATTAGAAGCCTACTATTAGTTACATGACTAACAGTATTCATATGAGGAAAGGCATTATCATAATGCCTAATAACTCTGGGTTATTGCCTGAGGCTGAAAAGGACCTTCATTTATAATTCTCAATAAAACATTCAAATTCAAAATAAGCCAGATTTCCTTAGGAAGGTACTGGAATATCTCTCTAGAGAGGAAAATCTACTACTGAAGCAGACTTTTTTAAGAATCAAATTAAGAGCTTTGGCCAGAAAAAGGAAATGTATATTTTAAAGTCAAATTGGATCTAAGGACTTGGGGAAATTACCTTGAAAGCAAGAATCCTGTTCACCCTCTGTACATTTGCAGCACTGTAGGATGCGCCACAGGAGTCCTGTGCTGCTGATATTCATTCCACTGCTGGGACCCACTGAAGACAGAACCCTGTGATGAGAATGACATCACTTCTAAATGTACTCATGTTTCCTGTGTGCCAACATTAATGGACATTGCCAAAACCAAATCAATAATTTGACAACACTACTTGAAAAACAAGCTTCTTAATGATGGCTATACCATAGCAGTAAAGGAAACCTAGGCTGCTAGAGCTGAACTCTTCTTCTTGTCCATATTGCTTTACAAAGATTAAACAAAGCAATCAAAAACATTCTAATTAACTGTCATTTCTGCCTGCCTCAATACTTTAAAATCTAATTCTTCTAAACATTCAGAATAATCAAGTTTAAATAATTGAATAATATCTTAAGTGAAATCTCAGGATATCTTTCTTCTTATTAGTCTTAAAAATAGCCCTCTTGGGATACAAACAAATGGAAGAACATTCCATGCTCATGGGTAGGAAGAATCAATATCGTGAAAATGGCCATACTGCCCAAGGTAATTTATAGATTCAATGCCATCCCCATCAAGCTACCAATGACTTTCTTCACAGAATTGGAAAAAACTACTTTAAAGTTCATGTGGAACCAAAAAACAGCCTGCATTGCCAAGTCAATCCTAAGCCAAAAGAACAAAGCTGGAGGCATCACACTACCTGACTTCAAACTATACTACAAGACTACAGTAACCAAAACAGCATGATACTGGTACCAAAACAGAGATATAGATCAATGGAACAGAACAGAGCCTTCAGAAATAATGCCGCATATCTACAACTATCTGATCTTTGACAAACCTGAGAAAAACAAGCAATGGGGAAAGGATTCCCTATTTAATAAATGGTGCTGGGAAAACTGGCTAGCCATATGGAGAAAGCTGAAGCTGGATCCCTTCCTTACACCTTATACAAAAATCAATTCAAGATGGATTAAAGACTTAAATGTTAGACCTAAAACCATAAAAACCCTAGAAGAAAATCTAGGCAATACCATTGAGGACATAGGCATGGGCAAGGACTTCATGTCTAAAACACCAAAAGCAATGGCAACAAAAGCCAAAATTGACAAATGGGATCTAATTAAACTAAAGAGCTTCTGCACAGCAAAAGAAACCACCATCAGAGTGAACAGGCAACCTACAAAATGGGAGAACATTTTTGCAACCTACTCATCTGACAAAGGGCTAATATCCAGAATCTACAATGAACTCAAACAAATTTACAAGAAAAAAACAAACAACCCCATCAAAAAGTGGGCGAAGGATATGAACAGACACTTCTCAAAAGAAGAAATTTATGCAGCCAAAAAACACATGAAAAAATGCTCACCATCACTGGCCATCAGAGAAATGCAAATCAAAACCACAATGAGATACCCTCTCACACCAGTTAGAATGGCGATCACGAAAAATTCAGGAAACAACAGGTGCTGGAGAGGATGTGGAGAAACAGGAACACTTTTACACTGTTGGTGGGACTGTAAACTAGTTCAACCATTGTGGAAGTCGGTGTGGCGATTCCTAGGGATCTAGAACTAGAAATACCATTTGACCCAGCCATCACATTACTGGGTATATACCCAAAGGATTATAAATCATGCTGCTATAAAGACACATGCACACGTATGTTTATTGTGGCACTATTCACAATAGCAAAGACTTGGAACCAACCCAAATGTCCAACAATGATAGACTGGATTAAGAAAATGTAGCACATATACACCATGGAATACTATGCAGCCATAAAAAAGGATGAGTTCATGTCCTTTATAGGGACATGAATGAAGCTGGAAACCATCATTCTCAGCAAACTATCGCAAGGACAAAAAACCAAACACTGCATGTTCTCACTCATAGGTGGGAATTGAATAATGAGAACACATGGACACAGGAAGGGGAACATCACACACCAGGGACTGTTCTAGGGTTGGGGGAGGGGGGAGGGATAGCATTAGGAGATATACCTAATGCTAAATGATGAGTTAATGGGTGCAGCACTGCAACATGGCACATGTATACATATGGAACAAACTTGCATGTTGTGCACATGTACCCTAAAACTTAAAGTATAATAATAATAAAAAAATAAAAAATAAATTCTTCATATAATTCAAAAAAAGAAAAATAGCCCTCTTGGCACTCCTAGTGCCAGATCTTGGTCTCTACTACTGTTTCTCACTAAAAGGAATAAGTTCCCCTTGAAAAAAATGATAGAGTCCACAAGAGGTACAGGAAATAGACAAAATTAGCTAAAATATCTTGTTACGCCATGAATTAAGGAAGTGCTAAATATAATAATGGAGCATGTTACAAACACTTGGGTGATGCTTGAAGGCATTCCACAGGTCAAATCTGGGACAACTGGAGCAAAAAATAATTACATACTCTAATGAATTATGAACAATTCTAAAAGGTTGGAATTCAGGAGTTCACACCTATAATAAATAGAAAAGAAAATAAATAGAAGAGAAAGGAGTGCTGAGTACTCTAATGTACATTGTAATACTGACTCACAAATGAGGAAGAAGTGTAGAAGCTGAAAAATCAGCACTTGTAATCATCATAGTAAAGGTTGGATTATTCAGGAATGATCAATAGGTAACATATCTGGGGAGAAATGTTTATGAGGAACAGATTATTTGTATGATCTTAAATTGTCTCCCTTCAGATTGTTTATCAGTTACAAGGGAAACTGGATATTATGCAATGGTAACATCAGACAACATACTAACAGGGTGATCAATACTAACATTACCAATGAGGAATATATGGACATGGTGTGCCTTCGATGACATATTCTGAGAAGGCCACGATTTCACTTATGTAGTATTCTGAGCAAGAACACCTAATGAGAATCTAATCATAAGTTAACATCAGATAAATGTCAAATGAGAAACAAATATCTTTAAAAACAAAAAGATAAGAGATTGTATGCTTCAAAAATGTCTGTCATAAAAGGCAAAGAAAGGTGTGGAATTGTTCTGGATTTTAAAATGATTATAGAGATATGACAACTAAATGTAATACTAGACTCTAGAAGTGAGAGAAAATGTATTGGGTCAGTTGCCAAAATTGAAATTATATGGATGGTAGATTTAATAAATATATTCTATCAATGTTAAAATTACTGAAGCTGTTAAATGAAGTGTAGTTATGTAAGTGCATACCTTATTCTTAAAAAATATCTCCTGAAGTATTAAAAGGTGGCCGGGTGCAGTGGCTCACGCCTGTAATCCCAGCACTGTGTAACTTCATTCTTGCATGAATGTTATCTCATTCTACCTCTATGAAGTAGGGATTATTACAGCATCATCTTAATTTTGCAGCTGAGAAACTGAGGCACAGGGAAGTTGAAAACTTGATGAAGGTCACATAGTAAGAGGTAGAGCTGGTGATTTGACTCCAGGCTGGTTTTCCAGAAAACTTGTACCCTTATCCATGTTGTTACATTGCCTTCTAGGGAACATGCAACATAAATAAACAGGGAGAAGTTTTAAAAGACTGTTTAAATTAAAAGGTGGCCGGGTGTGGTGGCTCATGCCTCTAACCCCAGCACTTTGGGAAGCCTAGTCAGGTGGATCACTTGAGGTCAGGAGTTCACGACCAGCCTGGCCAAAATGGTGAAACCCCATCTCTACTTTAAAAAATGCAAAAGTTAGCCAGGTGTGGTGGTGCATGCCTGTAGTCCCAGCTACTCAGGAGGCCGAGGCAGAATTGCTTGAACCTGGGAGGCAGAGGTTGCAGTGAGCCAAGATAGTGCCAGCTACTGCACTACAAGCTGGACAATAGAGTGAGACTGTCTCAAAACAAACAAACAAAAAAAAGTTACAAGACCATAATACATGTAACGTATGTAAAATGATTCAAAATATATGTGTAAGTGTGTGTGCAAGAGCAGAAATAAGAGAGACAAAAAAATGAGCCAATGAGAAAGTAAATTAGATAAAAAAAAAATAAATGAATCTGGGTAAATAAACAGTATAGTATAAAGATAATATTTGAACTATACTTATTCTTGCAACTTTTCTGAAATTTTTTTTAAAGCAGCTCTGCTGAAGCAGTATGTACAAGAAGAAAACATCATTACTGTTTCCCACTGGCACACTCTCCAGCATGTAATGAAGTATGCCTAAATCCATCCTGCAGAAAACTGGGAATTATTGTGTGCCTACATTTCAGGTGAATTTGATTCCGAATAATGTAGTAGGCAGCCTTGGTAGTTAACTAAACTGCCTTCAAATCAAAGGCAATGTAGTACAGGTCATGGGATTGGGTTAACTGTAAAAAGCCTTGTTCTTAAGTCCCTAGGTGATACCTGACACACTCAAGCACTAACTTTGTAGGCTTGAGTACAGAAGATAAGTGAAAAGTCACACAGTGGTTCCTTTGCATTTGGCCCAGCAGCCAAGTTTAAAAGGACAAACAGGCTGTACTGCATAGAAGGTGAAATGCTTAAATGTCAGAGCAGCATTGTTAGGAGCTATCTATATGCATAGCAACTATCATGTGTTCCAAAAAAAAAAAAAAACAGAGAGTACATTTCATGAAGGGAAATAAGAATAAAAGACTGTATCCTGCTTTACCATTCCCAAAAGACCCAGGAAAATCTTTTAACAATTTAAATGTTGTTGACTTTATTGACCTATGTATTGTGTTCCTCTCAAAACCAAGGGAAAATATACAAAGTGTTTACATATTTATCCTCTAGGGGCACAACAGGAAAGCCAATCAACGTTAGTCTTCACTTTCTTCATTTTCAAAAGTAGCATCTAGCGTCTAACAAATTTCCATGTGCTCCCACATACAGGCTTTTATGAAAGGCTGGTAAAGGATTTATTTTCTTTAAAAAGACGTGATGTCACATAAAATTGTTGGCTATTTTTTTCTTTCTGGCCAGGTAATTTTACTCTTTGGTTTTTTCTTCCATCTTTTAAAAGTATATTTCCTTTACAAATAAAATAATTTAGCTGGAATTATTTGTAAAGTAAATTGGTTATTTATTATACAATGATGAATAATTATATTTTTTTCTCAATAAATTGAGCATCTTTGGATGAGATCAAGAAGCTGCTCTAGCTCAAGTGGAAGTAACAGGGAGAAGTTTTAAATGACTGACGGCTGAAATTGTCATAAGAGAAAGGAGATAAAGAATACCAACACTCACCTGCTTCAATCAAGTGACTGGGCACCACCACACAATCTTAGGTATCCCTCAGAGCCAGTTCCACAATACTCTCCCGCTTTATAAAGTTCTTTGTTCAAAACAGTGAACTTGTTTCTTTGTCACCTTCTGATCTCTTGGGTTGTTTTGAGAGGTGAGAAGATGGCAGTTTGGTTAATTCAATGAAGTGGAGGTGGAATGGAGATGAAAGAAAAGTCAGGGCCTTCATTAGCCTCAGCAAACTAACGCAGGAACAGAAAACCAATCACTGCATGTTCTCACTTATAAGTGGGAACTGAACGATGAGAACACATGGACACAGGGTGGGGAACACCACACACTGGGGCCTGTTGTGGGACAGGGGAGAGCATCAGGAAGAATAGCTAATGGATGCTAGGCTTAATACCTAGGTGATGGGTTGATCTGTGCATCAAACCACCATGACACACGTTTACCTGTGTAACAAACCTGCATGTCCTGCAGGTTTGTTATATAGGTAGCAAATACGTACCCCAGAATTTAAGATAAAAGTTGGAAGAAAAGAAAGAAAAGTCAGGGCCTTAAATTGCAATCCTCTCTCTCTTAAAAATGTTTTAAAAATATTTTTTCCCTATGACAAGTCACTTTATTTCTTTAGGATTGTTTATTCACATTTAACATGTGAAACCTAAAGAATATAACTGTTGAAATGATTAAAACATTTTACATGAGTTTTATTTAAATAATAAGCAAATTCTGAGGCATATAAATTCGAGTCAAAACTCCCACATTTTTAGTTAAGCTTCTCTAAGCAAGTTACTTTGCCTCAATAAGTCCCAGTTTCCTAGTTTATCAAATGGAGATCATACAAATATCTAACTCATGGGTTTTCTGAGAAGACTAATTAGATCATGAAAAGGATCTGGAAAATAGTGTCAACTGATATTATTGGTGTTTTCATTATGATATGAAGTTCGTTTGTTGGTCTTCCATCGGTTATGGTGATGAGTCTGCTCACTGTACTTGAACTGTCCTTTCAAGACTCCTTGTCCCATTACTGTGTCCTTCTTTTTCCCAGGTGCTGTTAGAGACTCTCAAATACCTTTGGGGATTATATATTTTTATGTCTGGTTCTTCTTACTTGTAGAACAAGTTCCTCCAAGGAAGAAAGGATGTCTGTTTCATCTCTCACCCTTAGAAAAGTGCCTAGCCTGCATTCAACTCACAACTTGTTAATATTAATTAGGCACTAACAAACGCTAAGCCCTGCTATATATATCCAATCTGTGCAATTTCATTCTTGCATGAATGTTATCTCATTCTGCCTCTATGAGGTAGGGATTATTACAGCACCATCTTAATTTTGCAGTTGAGAAACTGAGGCACAGGGAAGTTGAAAACTTGATGAAGGTCACATAGTAAGAGGTAGAGCTGGTGATTTGACTCCAGGCTGGTTTTCCTGAAACCTTTCACCCTTATCCATATTGTTACATTGCCTTCTAGGGAAATGCAACATAAATAAACATTTGGAAATGTCCTTGCCCTGCAGGGGCAAAGGATAAGACCAAGAATATATGTTATAATCAACAAACCAAGTGAAACTAGCTGGGGCATATAGGTATACCTTGGTGTCAGAAGAATAAAACAAAAGGGTTCTCTTCCCATTAGATTAAGTAGAGAGCAATTATTAATCTTAAATGAGAAAACTGAGTCCCAAGAATGAAGCCATTTATCTAATATTATTCACTTGATTCAAGTTAACCATCCTCTGGTCCAGAGGTTCTCACATTTTAATATGTATCAGAATTACACAGAAGACTTGTTAAAACACAGACATGAAGACCCCAACGTCAGAATTTCTTATTCAGTTTATCTGGGGTATTTGACTTCCAGTAAAATCTCAGATTATGGTGATTACACTGGGCTGGAGCACTGTTCCAGTGCAAAGCTCAACCTACAGTCCTGTACTACGATCCTTTGTGGTTCCTTGAGTTTTGGCATGGGAGGATGACACATCAAGAGAAGGTAATAAGAGCAGCGATCGGTGGGTTGTGGAGGGAAAAACCGTGCATTCTATTCCTGGGCAGATTTATTTGGAGTCAGAGAAGAAATGCTGCACAGAACTTTTAAGAAGATAAGCCACAGTCTCATACATAGATTTCCACACTTTCATGGTGCTTAGAAGCAACAGAAAGATTTGCGCACACAGCAAATCATAGTAGAAAGTGATAGGAGTGCTGGCAAGTCTGACAGCGTTCATGGATGAGAAACTTGCGTTATGTAACATGCTAATCAAGTTCATGGTTAGTAACTTGCATGGGTGAATGAGAAGAGGCCATCACTCCACAAATGATGCCTTGATCAGGCGCACCCCACTCCAATGCCTCAGACTATGTGACCCCATCCAAGTTAAACAAATCCCATGCTATATTATAGGAGACTCCAGATTGACAGAGAATAATTGTCTACCACACTAGAAATTAGTTTGTACAGTTGAATTTGTGGATGGAGAATTATATTCAATCACAACCTAAAACAGGAGAGCCCTAAGCCTACATACTTAGTACGGAAACCTAAATGGCATTTATCATTTCAGGAGGAAACACAAAGGTTTTAGGAATTCTAGGAAATATTAGTAAGCATCAACATATGAAATATAGTTTAGGTTCTTACAGGAACTCCTACTAGATGGCTTGCATTATTTGGGTCAGACACAGTTTTTCTTTCTGTATGTCCTAAAGTTTTTCCATTTTACATCAACATTTAAGTCTTCGAAAATGATAGAGACATACCTAAAATTCTAAATGGTAATTTTTAAAATAGTTTCTTTCTGATGTTATTTCACTATTCTTCTCCATTTTCTATATTCCTCCCCCAGACAATACAAGGGTATAGTTAGCACTACACTTAGGGAATTATAGATCCCAAAATTGGGTATTAAATCATATCAAGTTTTTAACATTTTTACTGTAAAGAGCAGTGATCCAAATTCTTTATTAAAGTACACAGTAAAGTTTTGTACAATATAACTTTGCCCATTTAATCTTTCAAGTTTTAAAGGCTGTGAAGTAAAACTTAACCAAAAAGAATTAGAGAAATATTTATTCATCACAAAGTGTTCTTAGTATTTGGCTTTTCCTTCTTGGGTGCAAAGTTTTCTTCTCCAATTTTTTAGCTAATTACTACCTGCTCCTTGTTCACTGGAGGACTGAAAATACAGCTACTTCCACGGATCTCTGACATCCAGGTAGACATCTTGGGAACACTGATGAAACTGATAACAGGCCATTTTATAGGGCCCTAAAAGCTACTCAAGAAACTAACAAGGTCCATTAGACTTTCTGTCATGCATATGATGGGAAAAAATATACCACCATAAGATCCACTCAATTGTCCTGCTGCGACAGCAGTAGCTATTGTGTGTGAGAGGTTTTTGGAAGGTGGCTCCACCTTGGTGTTTATGCTCTGCTGGCTAGTGGGAGTTTCAGGTAAGCCACCATAACAGAAGGGGCTTTGTGATAGGCTATCAGTGACAAACAGGAACGACAACATGCAGCCCAGGGGTTTGACAAGGAGGAGAAGCTCAACAAAGGAAGAATGACCTGCTTCAGTTTCCCATTTCAGTCTAACATTTACTTTCTCACACAAAGCTTAGCTTGGTGTGTTGGTGTCCAAATCACATTCAAACCTTGTACAGAGTGACAGGAGTCAAGCTGAGATACTTTAAGTGGATTTCTTTTCTTTCTACCTTGCTTTGAACTTCTTTTAAACCTACAGATGTTTGGCAGAGCCGTCCATACTAAGAAGCTGAAAAAGAGAAAAAAATGGAAGATATGCTCCCAGGTTAATAATTTGTTTTTACATATATGGAGTGCGCATGTGTGAGTGTATGTGTTAAATCTGTTCTATAGGCCTGGTCTTTGCTATATGTAAGTGAGGATCTAATAGGTAAGCTTCCTTTCTATCTTATTAAAAAAAGAGTGCTTTTTAAAATCAAGAGCCATATAAACTCTCAATTTTGTAAACATTTGTTGAGCACCTACTACTCAATATTACACTGCATCCTGATGGGAGAGACAGATGTAAAGATGATCAACACATGGTATAGCAACTTGTTCTCTGGTAAGGAAACTGAGATGTGTAGCCAAATAATTATAAGGTGTGCTATTATTACAATATTGTTACCAATGCCACATTTTCTATCCAGGCATTTCCAGAATTTTCTTGTATTTCTTAACTTGCCAATTCCATCTCATACCTTCTCATTTATGACACATAACATCATCTCTTACCTGAGAAACCCTAACATGAGAAAAGGCACTTCACCTGTCATTATATAGGAGTTTAATAAGGATAAAAATGGCATAGGTGCCTGGTCAAATGTTGGGCCATAGGCCCAACAGAACCGTATGGAACACAGAGCTAGTCCTCAGATTTAAAGGTAAAAAATGTGGGTGCTATAACAACATATCACCTCTCTATTTTTGCCCATGAATAATTCAGACTTTTGTTTCATTTTTATGCTCTCCTAAAAGGAAGAATGAAGAAAACTATTCATATTCTGTATGCCAGGTACTGTGCTAACATTTCAGACATTGTGTCTCATTTAATCCTCACTGCAACCCTCTGAGGTCAGTATTATGATCTGCACAGATGAGGACACAGGCTCAGCATGGTGTCACAGTTAGTAGGATTCAAATGCATGTCAGTCTAAATATTATATTCTTTATCTAGCACACCAACACTCTATGTAAAGCTGGTTCCTTCCATTTTACATAGTATAAAAAAAGGAATCAGGAAGGATGGTAGCTGCTTATGAAGTATTTCACACCTTTCTCATGAACACATGCTCAAGCATTTCTTTTATTAAAAAAATAGCACTTTCCCTATTAGTCCACTATCTTACCTCAAACCTTGCTTTTGCTGCCGAATTTTATTTTTTAAATGTTATTGATATGGTTTGGCTGTGTCCCCACACAAATCTCATCTTGAATTGTAGCTTCCATAATTCTCACATGTCATGGGAGGGACCCAGTGGGAGGTAATTAAATCATGGGAGCAGATTTTTCCTGTGCTGTTCTCATGATAGTGCATAAGTCTCAGGAGATCTGATAGTTTCATAAAGGGGAGTTCCCCTTTATGCAAGCTCTCTTGCCTGCCACCATGTAAGACCTGCCTTTGCTCTTCCTTCATCTTCCACCATAATTGTGAGGACTCCCCAGCCATGTGGAACTGTGAGTCCATTAAATCTCTTTACTTTATAAATTACCCAGTCTCAGGTATATCTTTACTAGCAACATGGGAATGAACTAATACAGTTGTTGACTTTTTTTAGTATAGTTTTAGATCCACAGAATAATTGAGCAGATAATACACAACATTTCATAAACCAACATCCAACCCCACCATATACAATTTCCCCTATTCTTATCATCTTGCATTCGTGTGGTTCATCTGTTACAATTGATGAACCAATGTTGATACATTATTATTAACTACACTCCATAGTTAACATTAGGGTTCACTCTTTGTGTTGAATATCTATTGGTTTGATAAACGCATACTGACATGTATTCACAATCAGTCTCATACAGAATAGTTTCACTGCCCTAAAAATCCCCTGTGCTCCACCTACTCATATCATCTTTCCTTTCTCAAATCACCTGCAACCACTGATCTTTTTACTATGTCTACAATTTTGCCTTTTCTAAAATCTCATAAACTTGGAATCACACAGTATGCAGCCTTTTTATACTGGCTTCTTCCACCTAGCAATATGCATTGAAGGTTCCTTCCTAGCTTTTCATGCCTTGATAGCGTATTTCTTTTTATTGCTCTAAATTTTATTTCTGTGAAAAAATATTTTGACACAATACATCACACTCTGCAATGACTGCTAAGGATACAAAGATTAATAGGACACAATTCCTACCTTGCAGATCTTACTGTTTAGCACTAGTAGAAAGGAACAAGTCTTAGTTCTTTTTGTATTGCTATAACAAAATACCACAGACTGGGTAATTTATAGAGAAAATAAATTTATTTCTCACAGTTCTGGAGGCTGGGAAGTTCAAGACTGAGGGTCCAGCAGCAGTGAGGGCCTTCTTGCTGTGTCAGAACATGGCCGAGGGCATCACATGGCAAGAGGATATGATCATGCCTACTGACTCAGGTTTCTCTTTCTCGTCTTGTAAAACTACTAGTCCCATCCTGGGGGCATGTGATGACCTTATCTAATCTTAATTACCTCTCAAAGGCTCCACCTCCAATCAACATATAAGTTTTGTGATTAAGTTTCCAACACATGAAATTTGAGGGACACATTCAAACAATAGCAGTTTGAATGAACCATAAACCAAAAAAAAAGTGATAACATTTTATAGGTATTATAATAGAAGTCTATAGGGGTTAAAAAAGAAGGACAAAGTGAGGAGAATTTCATCTTACTCCACTTACAGAAGAGTCAGGAATGACTCCCTACATGATTTGGTGTTTGAGCTGAGAGACCACCAAGAGCCAAGGCAGACACTGTGAGCCAAGCTGGAAAATTTTAGGTGGAACAGCATGACATGTGAGAAAAGCAAGAAGTTCAGCCAGAAGATGGTAGAAGTGGACACAAATATGCTGAACTCTCAGATCCCACCTTTTTTTCCACAACAGTTATCAGCTTTCATATAACAAATGTGTACTTGTTGTTGTTGTTTTTAATTGTCTTCCTCCTGCCACCAGAAGATATAGCCCTAAGGGCAGGGACTTCAGCTTTGTTCATGTCTGGCCAATAGGTAGCTTGAGATAAATATTTGTTGAGTGAAAGAATACACAAAGCAAAGTTTTATCAGTGTCTGAGGACTTCCTTGTAGGAATAAAAAGTATCATAAAAGGATGGATTAACTCTTTCAGGTAAACAGGCGACCATTCTAATCCTAATTTATAGATTTCCAACAACTGCTACAAAGTTTACACTACCTTCTAATTCCACACATTTTAACAGTCTTAATGATAGGGATATGCTCTGAGAAATGTGTCGTTAGGCGATTTCATCATTGTGCATACATCATAGAGTGTACTTACCACATACCTGGGCTATATGGAATAATCTATTGCTCCTAAGCTACAAACCTGTATGGCATGCTACTGTACTGAACACTTTAGGCAATAGTAACACCATGGTAAATATTTGTGTATCTAAACAGAAAAAGTACAGTAAAAATATGATATAGAACTTAAAAAATGGTAGACCTGTATAGGGCACTTAGCATGAATGGAGCTTACAGGACAGGAAGTTGCTCTGGGTGAGTTAGTGAGTGAATGTGAAGGTCTAGGACATCACTGTACTACTGCACACTTTATAAATGCTATACACTTAGGCTACACTAAACTTTTTTTTCTTTTTTTTTTTTTTTGAGACAGAGTCTCACTCTGTCGCCCTGGCTAGAGTGCAGTGGCGCCACCTCAGCTCACTGCAACCTCTGCCTCCTGGGTTCAAGCAATTCTCTGCCTCAGCCTCCCCAGTAGCTGGGATTACAGGTGTCCGCCACCATGCCCGGCTAATTTTTGTATGTTTAATAGAGACGGGGTTTCACCATCTTGGCCAGGCTGGTCTTGAACTCCTGAGCCCATGATCCACCCACCTCGGCCTCCCAAAGTGCTGGGATTACAGGCATAAGCCACCGCACATAGCCTTATTTTTTAAATAAAGGAATTCTGCTATGACTTTATGACAGCTAGATGTCACAAAGAAATAGGAATGTTTCAGTTCCATTATAATCTTATGGGACAACAGACATATACCCAGTCCATTATTGACCAAAATATCATTATGCAGCATATGACTGTAATTGTTTTATTTCTCCAAATTATACTGGAAGACAGAAAAAGAAATATCCAAAGCTTTCAAAAATGTCAGATAAATTTGCTGACCTTTGCACACCGTTATTTAGATAAAACCTTTTTTTCCAGTACTAATTCAAGGTCTGTTCTCATAAATACCTCTTGCTATAACCTAACATAATATGGCAGGTACTCAAAATAAGGATGTAATAAGTTAAATAATTATGCCAAAGAAAAGCTGAGATAGGCACTCAATTCCTTATTTTTATACAGCACATCTTATGACTTTCAGAATTTGGAATTTTAAAATTATCTCTTTTATGGTTAGACTGGAGGGTAAACTTTTAACCGGGAATGGTTCATTCCCATGTCATGGTGGTATGGGCATGAGGAAGTAATATTCTCTGAACATGACTGTGCTTCAAATACCACTGCTCCAAGATAAGATGAATGCCCTGAGCACTGATTGCAGTGATAGGAATGATAGAGAGAAGATGATTCTGTTCTGTGACCATAGTGACTGTTTTCATTTTTAGACAGAATTGCCCAGGTTATTACTTTCCCCAGGTAACATTTTTTTTTTATTTTTATGGGTACATAGTACTTGTATATATTTT
Source organism: Homo sapiens (assembly GCF_000001405.40). Lineage (NCBI taxonomy): Eukaryota > Metazoa > Chordata > Mammalia > Primates > Hominidae > Homo > Homo sapiens. Next base: position 94,016,334 of record NC_000004.12, read on the forward strand.
TGGGGTATATGGTTTATTTTGATACAATATGTAATAATACAAAGGCATACAATGTGTAATAATCACATCAAGGTAAATGAAGTATCCATCATCTGAAGCATTTACCCTTTGTGTTACAATTCCGTAATACTCTTTTAGCTATTTTTCAATGTACAGTAAATTATTATTGACTGTAGTCATGCTGTTGTGCTATCAAATACTAGATTTATTCATTCAAACTATATTTTATACCTATTAATCATCCCCCACTTCCTCCCCAACTCCCCTTGCACTACCTTCCCAGCCTCTGGTAACCATCATTCCACGCTCTATCTCCATGGGTTCAATTATTTTAATTTTTAGCTCCCACAAATAAGTGAGAACATGACAAGTTTGTCTTTTTGTGCCTGGTTTATTTCACTTAATAAAATCACAACCAGTTCAATCCGTGTTTTTGCAAATGATAGGATCTCATTCTTTGTTTAGGGCTAAATAGTACTCCATTGTGTATATGCACCACATTTTCTTTATTCATTCACCTGCTGACAAACACTTGGATTGCTTACAAATCTTGGCTCTTGTGAATAGTACTGCAACAAACATGAAAGCACAGATGTCTCTTCAATATACTGATTTTCTTTCTTTTGGGTATGCATTTAGAAGTGGGATTGCTGGATCATATGGTAGCTCTATTTTTTTGTTTGTTTGTTTTTTTGAGGAACTTTCAAACTGTCCTCCATAGTGGTTGTACCAGTTTACATTCCCATCAACAGTGTTCCAGGGTTACCTTTTCTTCACACCCTCACCAACACTTGTAATCACTTGTCTTTTGAATAAAAGCCAGTTTAACTGGAATGAGATGATATGTCATTGTAGCTTTGATTTGCATTTCTCTGGAGATCAATGATGTTAATCACCTTTTCATATGCCTGCTTGCCATTTGTATGTCTTCTTTTGAGAAATGTCTATTGATATCATTTGTCCATTTTCAGCTGGATTACTACATTTTTTCTTGTAGAGTTGTTTCACCTCCTTATATATGCTCATTATTAATCCCTTGTCAGATGGACAGTTTGTAAATATTTTCCCCAGCAAGCATTTTATGAAAAGAACTGGTTTTCTTAATCCCTTGTCTTCTCGGTTCTTAGATTCTTCCTCAAATCCAACCTCATTCATCCATGTTTAATGCCATAACCTTGGACCCTGACACCACTAGTAAATATACCAGAGTAGAAAAAAAGTTTTAATGTCAAGTTTCCACCTTTTTGAGATGCATTCTTTCTGTATTCCTCCCCTTTCCCACTTCCAGTGTCAGCAATTATCCAACTAGTGGGAGAGAAGTGAAATATTTTCCATTCCCATTAACTCACTCATTAATTACCTCTCCCAGTCTAGAGTCTATGGATAATCATTATAATCAATTCATTTTAACTTCTTTGTCCTTCTCTCTCTCTCTCTTACTCTACATTATTCCCATTTAAATAAAGCCCAACCATGGTTAAACTCAATTGTCCTTGTAGTCTTCCCCTCTGCTTCAGAAGCTGAATTCTCCTGGAGAAAACCAACAATCATGTAGGCTGACCTTTCTCTAAACTTCTGACCACTAGTCTTAGAGGAGCACTCACCAGTGCCCAGGAATCCTTCTATACTTTCCATTCTTTGGTTCAAGTTTCAGATCTCCTTTCTCTTCATATCTCCAAAAACCACTCCCTTCCACAGCTCATGAACTCACCTCATTCTTCCCTGAGAATAAAGTAGCAATCAGATGGGAGCTCCTTCAACTTTCCACCCCAACTTTATTAACTTATCTGCATCTACACTCGCATTCTCTGCCTTCCTTTTACTACAATGAATTAAAAAAAGTTTTCCGTGTGCCTAAAAATGCCAACCCCTCCCCCTTTCTTTCTAAATATCATCTCCTTTTCCCAAGTTCAAGAAATTCAAGCCTGTAATTATCCTATGACTCCCCGGTATCATTAGACTCCCTCTGTCTACTGGATAATTTCAATAAGCATAAAGACACAAACTGTCCATTTTTTAAAAATCTCCTTTGACCTCATATTATACTCCAGTTATTACTAAATTTTTATAACCCCTTCAAAGCAAAACTTATCAAAAGATGCCTATATTTAGTGAGTTCCTTTTATCATCTCTTTTATTTTCAATCCACTCCAGTAAAGTTTTTCTCCCCTTTCATTACAATCCACTGAAATGGTACTTGTCAAGGTCACAATAATGTCCATAGTGTGAAACAAATGGTCACTTGTCTGTCCTCATCTGACTTGACCTTGCAGCAACTTTCCTCCTTCTTGAAATGCTTTATTCTCTTGAATTCCATGTCATAACATTGTCTCTTTCTCTTTCCATCAAAAGGGACTCTCTACTTAGCCTCTTTTGCTAGCTGTGCTGGGCGTCTTTCACTTCTTTATTATCTAGACCAGGGGTGTCCAATCTTTGGGCTTCCCTGGGCCACATTGAAAGAAGAATTGTCTTGGGTCAAACCTAAAATACACTAACACTAACAATAGCTGGTGAACTAAAATCAAAAAAAGTGCAAAAAAAAAAATCTCATAATGTTTTAAGGAAGAATTTGTGTTGGGCTGCATTCAAAGTTGTCCTGGGCCACGTGTGGCTCATGGGGCGTGGGTTCAACAAGCTTGATCTAGACTCTCTGCTGAGATGGCTTCCAATCCCATGGCTTGATTATGTGTGTGCTGTAGACTCTCCATTTTGAACTGTAGCCATGACCTCTCCCTCTGAGCTCCCAAAAGTGTTTCTCTCTCTGTCTTCCCTAGCTAATAAAGGGCATCACCTTCAATTCACTTCTTCAGGTAAAATTTCTTGAAGTCATCCTTGACTTACTCCTACCTCTGACACCTCGTATATCACCTACACACATACTTACTAATCAAGGATCAAGCCTGATCAGCTCTGTCTCAAAAAATATCCCAGCCCACAAATTTATCTGTCCACATCTCTTCAGCTTTGCTGCTACCATCCTTGTCTATGCCACTGACATCTTTTTGCTAATAGTATGGCAATAGCTTCTGAACATTCTCCTTGCTTTTCTTTTGGAGCCCCTAAAATCTATTCTTCATTCAGCAATCTGAGTGAACTTTCTACAATGTAAATAAGATAATGTTAAGCTCCTTCTTGAAACTTACCAATGGCTTCTCTTTGCACTTGGAATCAATTGCGAACATCTTCTTCTTTCCTAAATGGGCTTCTATGATCTATCCCAAGCTAGTTCTCTAACCTCACTATATCCTGCCACCCCTATTTTGGCCACACTGCCTGGTCTTTTTTATCTTCTTCAAGTCCACCAAACTCCTTCAAAACTCAGAGTCTTTGAAATTGCTTTTCTTTCTGCCTAGCATAATCTTCCACCCAAATCTTCCACAAAAGGCTCCTTCTAATAATTCAGATCTCAGCTCAATCAGGAGATGTCATCCCCAGGCCCCAGAACGTGAACCTCCCCCCAGGTCACTATTATCAAATGACTATGTTTTATTTTTCTCATAGCATTTATTACTATCTGAAATTATATTATAGCTTTAGTTTACTGTCTGTCCCCCTTCTTCTAGAATACATATAAGCTTGAATGTAGATCTTGAATAATCTCTTTCACTCTCATATTCAACCCCAGTATTTGCTATATGCACCACTAACACCACGACCACTTTAGGATTCTCTGCAATCAATAGTCACAAGCATATTGAAGAATTAGTATAACATTGTAATATTCCAAATAATGGAAATAGAAAAAAAGAGAATTGCTCACAATTTTTCATGGATTAGCTAAAAATAACTACAAATTATCTTTAGTTCATTTTTAAATATATTCTAGAAAATGACAATAAAAATAAGACCAAAACTGACCGAATCTATAGATAATAAAAGTCTGACCTATACATCTTACTTTTAAAATTCTGGTACAATTATTAAATAGAGATAGAAAGTTTATTATTAAAATTGATATCAATTGTAAAGGTTCACAATATTGTGAACGTACTAAATGTCACTACGTTGTAAAGTACTCCACTATGTAACACAAAGTAAATAGTATAAATCATAGCAAATTTTTTAATTATACAGAAATTATTTCAGCTGTGACCTGAAATAATTAAATTAACTGGTCTTCTGTTCCAAGATTATTTCTAATAAAATCAACATTGATTTCTTTTTTAAACTGATATCAAAATGCAAAAAGAAAAACAATTCTTCCCTGTAAAATTTATGTAAGAAGTATTTACACTGGTGAAACTTATTTCAGTATAATAAAATTCAAATGTAAAATACAGGACATAATTTAACTTCTCTGTAAAAAAAAAAATTAACAAATAAATAATTTGGTTTTGCCACAGTCTGAATGCATCCCCTAGCCAGATATGGTGGCTCATGTCTATAATCCCAGCACTTTGGGAGGCCAAGGTGGGAGGATTGCTTGAGGCTGGGAGTTTGAAACCAGCCTGGGCAACATAGCGAGACCACATCTCTACAAAAAAATTTTTAAAAATTAGCTGGGTATGGTGGCATATGCCTCCTGGGTCCCAGCTACCCAGGAGGCTGAGGGCAGGAAGATTACTTGAGCCCAGGAGTTTGAGGCTGCAGTAAGCTATGATCACACCACTGCACTCCAACCTGCGTGACAAAGCAAGACTGTCTCTAAAATTAAATAAATAAATAAATAAATGTATCCCCCAAAGTTTATGTGTTGGAAACTCAATCTCCAATGCAACAGTGTTGAGATGTGGGAACTTTATGCCGTAATTAGGTAATGAGGGCTCAGTCTTCATAAATGGATTGATGTTACCACAGGAGCGGGCTCAGCCTTCTCTTGTTCTTGCTTTATCAAGTACTAGGGCCCTTCTGCCTTCTGCACCAGGATCACATAGCAAGAAGGCCTTTGCCTGAGGCAAGCACCTCAGCCTTGGACTTTCCAGCCTCCAAAATTATAAATTTCTTTTTTATATAAATTAGTCTGTGGGATTCTGTCACAGCAACACAAAAGAGACTTACACAGGCTTACTTGAGTTTGCCTCAGAAAATATTTACATTGCAATTTTACTTATGTCTTGGCTTTTGATTAAATACAAAGCCAAACATTCTTAGAGTCAGAATGATTGGGTTAAAACAAAGAGATAAAATAGTCCACTATCCAAATATAACTTGTTTCTCAGAGGCAAGAACCAGGGAAGAACTCATCTGCTTTTGATTTTAGGGTTCCCTCCCCTTAGGAATAGAGTCTTAATACAGCAACATAAAAGATATTTCTAAAATGTAAATTAGGGCCAGACACGGTGACTCATGCCTGTAATCCCAGCACTATGGGAGGCCAAGGCTGGTGGATCACCTGAGGTCAGGAGTTCGAGACCAGCCTAACCAATATGGTGAAACCCCACCTCTACTAAAAAAATACAAAAATTAGCTGGGCATGGTGGTATGTACCTGAAGTCCCAACTACTCAGGAGGCTGAGGCAGGAGAATTGCTTGAACCTGGGAGGCAGAGGCTGCAGTGGGCCGAGATCATGCCACTGCACTCCAGCCTGGGCAACAGAGTGAGATTCTGTCTCAAAAAAAGAGAAAAAGATGTAAATTAGGTTGTTTCTTATGCCTGTGATTACTTTGCAAAGACTTCTCTTAACTGCAGAATAAAAGTCGATTATATAATATTTGGATAGGGAGGAATGGGCAATAAACGTTCTTTGTTTTCTTTTCCCACATCTATTTCCCCTTAACCCTATACCCATCTCCTTCATCATCACCACTTTAAAGAATTCTCAGGAACAAAACAAGAGTAATAAATGAAAAGGAGAAATCTGCTTTTATTCAAGATGGACTGAGTGCACTCCAATGTGTCCCACCCACTAAAAGCAACTAAAACCCCTGGATGAATGCATAGAACAGCTAAAGAGAACTCAAAGGACCACCGAACCAGATTTGAGTTTAACATTTCTTTTTTCCCCTGATATCTCCCATCCTGCATTTGCAGCCAGAAACACAGAACTATCTTCTGGGTGCAATAAAAAGAGTTCCAAAGAAAGCTCTAGTCCTTGAACCTCTAGTCCAAGGAAATGAAAGGGGAAATCTCTACTGGTAACAAACTGAAGGAAATACCCTGGTATTCTTTTCCCACTTATTTTCTTGGTCTAGTGGGCAGGCACAGTTATGAAAAATATGCAGCAAAGCACATAACTAAGACCCAGTGTGCTAGCAAGTTGACCAAGAAGGGAAACTCTAGGCACCAGATGTGTCAAGGAGATTGAGAAGAGGAAGGAGCTCAAGAAAGCAATCCAATATATTTATTTATGAACTCCTGGACTTCATCATGAGCTGCACATGTATATCTGATCCTAAACAGTATATCAAAGGCTTTGAGAAATGAACTACAGAGTAGACAACTGCCTACATTCCAGAGTCTCCTTAAAAGTAAAAGGAGAAACATTTCCCAAATGATTTATCAACCCAAGAATTACCCTGATATCAGAATCAAACGAAAACATTAGAAGAAAAGAAGACTATGGAACAATTTTCCCTATGAAGAAATTGAGAATAGAAAAATAATATAGAAAATTAATGAAATCAAAAGTTGATTATTTGAGTAATTGAACAAAATTGACAAACCAGACTGGGCACAGTGGCTCCTATCTGCAATCCCATCACTTTGGGAAGCCAAGGTAGAAGGGAGGATCCCTTGAAGCCAGGAGTTCAAGACCAGTCTGATCAACATAGCAAGACCCCATCTCTACAAATAATTTAAGAAGTATCCTAGCATGGTGGCATGCACCTGTATTCACAGCTACTCAGTAGGCTGAGGCAGGAGGATCAACCAGGATTTTGAGGTTATAGTGGGCTATAATCACACCACTGCACTCCAGCCTGGGTGATTAGAGCAAGACCCTGTCTCTTAAAAAAGAAAAGTTAACAAAACTTCAGCTGGATGGATAAAGAGGAAAGAAGTCTCAAAATCAAAAATGAAAGTGGGGTCATTCATCAATGGTAGACTGAAAAGGAAAAAGGGTACATATACACCATGGAATACTATGCAGCCATAAAAAGGAATGAGATCATGTCCTTTGCAGAGACATGGATGGAGCTGGAAGCCATTATCCTCAGCAAGCTAACACAGGAACAGAAAACCAAACACCGCATGTTCTCACTTACAAGAGGTGAACGATGTGAACACATAAACAGAGAGAGGGAACAAGATACACTGGGGCCTGTCATCAGAGGCAGGGCGAGGGAGAGCATCAGGAAAAATAACTAATGCATGCTGGGCTTAATACGAAGGTACTGGGTTGATAAGTGCAGCAAATTACCATGGCACACATTTACCTGTGTAACAAACCTGTCCATCCTGCACATGTACTCCAGATCTTAAAATAAATTTTTTTAAAAAATCAGCTGGACATGGTGACACAAGGCTGTAGTCCCAGCTACTCGGGAGTCTGAGATGGGAGGATTGCTTGAGCCCGCAAGATGGAGGCTGCAGTGAGCTGTGATAGCATCACTGCATTCCAGCCTGGGAGACAGAGCAAGACCCAATCTCAAAAAAAAAAAAAAAAAAAAAAAAAAAAAAAAAAAAAAACCGAGGTCATTAATACAGACCTTATAGAAATATGGGAAATTGAAAAAAATACTATGAATAATTGTAGGCCAATAAATTAGATAACCTAGGTGAAATGGACAATTCCCTAAAAATATACAAACTGCCAACACTGAATCAAGAAAAAATGGAAACTATGCATAGACCTATAACAAGTATAGAAATTGGACCAGTAATCAAAAAACTACCAACAAAGAAAAGCCTAGGAACAGATGGCTTTACTGGCAAATTCTACCAAACACTTTAAGAGAAATTAACACCAGTTAACATCAATCCTGCTCAAACTTGTCCGAAAGATAATAGAGGAGGGAGCACTTTCTAACTCATGCCAGGAAGCCATGAGTGTTACCCTGACACCAAAGCTAAACAAAGACATCACAAGAAAAGAAACTACACATACATAGGCCTTGTGAATACAACCCAAAAATTCTCAAAATACTGGCAAAGCAAATCCAGCAGCATAACAAAAGGATCACACACCAGTACTAAGTAGGATTTACCCCAGAAATACAAGGTTGGTTCAACACATAAAAATGAATTTCTGTAATATACTATATTATTAGAATGAAGGAATAAAAAGTACATGGTCATTTTAAAGGATGTAGTAAAAGCATTTGACAACATCCAACACCTTTTCATGATAAAAACACTCAACAAACTAGGAATTGAAAGGAACTTCCTCAATGTGAAAAAAAAAAAAAGAAACAGTCTACAGAAATACCCACAGTTAATGGCATACCGAATGGTGAAAGACTGGATGCTTTCCCATCCAGAGCAGAATGAAGCAAAGGATGTCCACTTTTGCAACTTCTGTTCAACACTGTAGTAGAGGTTCTAGCCAGAGCAATTAGGCAATAAAAAGAAATAAAAAGGACCAAGGTTGAAAACGAAGAAGTAAAACTCTCTCAATTCAAGGAAGACATGATCTTATATATGAAAATCTTTTTTTAAGTCTAAAAAATAACTATTAGAATTCATAAGCAAATTCAGTAAAGTTGCAAGATTCAAGAACAGTATACAAAAATCAGTTATGTTTCTATACACTAGCCATGATTAATCTGAAAATGAAAATAAGAAAATAATTTTATTTATACCTTCATCAAAAAGAACCTAATACAGGAAAATACATTTAATCAAGGAAGTGCAAGTCTTACGCACTAAAAACTACAAAATATTATTGAAGGTAATTTTTAAAAACCAAATTTATAAACAAAATCTGTGTTCTTAGATTGGAAGATTTTATATTTTTTGAGATGACAATACTCCTTACATTGATTCACAGATTCAATGCAATGCCTATCAAAATCCCAACAGCTTTACTTGCTTTTTTGTTTGCTGTAGAAATGGATAAGCATGTTCTCAAATTCGTATGGAAATGCAAGAGGCCCCAAATAGCCAAAAAATCTTAAAAAAGAGGAACAAAGTTGGAGGACTCACACCTCCCCATTTCAAAACTTATTACAAAGCTGCAGAACCAAGCCTACAGTAACCAAAAGAGCATGGTACTGGTACCAAAACAGAGATATAGACCAATGAAACAGAACAGAGCCCTCAGAAATAATGCCGCATAACTACAACTATCTGATCTTTGACAAACCTGAGAAAAACAAGCAATGGGGAAAGGATTCCCTATTTAATAAATGGTGCTGGGAAAACTGGCTAGCCATATGGAGAAAGCTGAAACTGGATCCCTTCTTTACACCTTATACAAAAATTAATTCAAGATGGATTAAAGACTTAAACGTTAGACCTAAAACCATAAAAACCCTAGAAGAAAACCTAGGCAATACAATTCAGGACATAGGCATGGGCAAGGACTTCATGTCTAAAACACCAAAAGCAATGACAACAAAAGCCAAAATTGACAAATGGGATCTCATTAAACTAAAGAGCTTCTGCACAGCAAAAGAAACTACCATCAGAGTGAACGGGCAACCTACAAAATGGGAGAAAATTTTTGCAACCTACTCATCTGACAAAGGGCTAATATCCAGAATCTACAATGAACTCAAACAAATTTGCAAGAAAAAAACAACCCCATCAAAAAGTGGGCGAAGGACATGAACAGACACTTCTCAAAAGAAGACATTTATGCAGCCAAAAGACACATGAAAAAATGTTCATTTTCACTGGCCATCAGAGAAATGCAAATCAAAACCACAATGAGATACCATCTCACACCAGTTAGAATGGCAATCATTAAAAAGTCAGGAAACAAAAGGTGCTGGAGAGGATGTGGAGAAATAGGAACACTTTTACACTGTTGGTGGGACTGTCAACTAGTTCAACCATTGTGGAAGTCAGTGTGGCGATTCCTCAGGGATCTAGAACTAGAAATACCATTTGACCCAGCCGTCCCATTACTGGGTATATACCCAAAGGACTATAAATCATGCTGCTATAAAGACACATGCACACGTATGTTTATTGCAGCACTATTCACAATAGCAAAGACTTGGAACCAACCCAAATGTCCAACAATGATAGACTGGATTAAGAAAATGTGACACATATACACCATGGAATACTATGCAGCCATAAAAAATGATGAGTTCATGTCCTTTGTAGGGACATGGATGAAATTGAAAACCATCATTCTCAGTAAACTATCGCAAGGACAAAAAACCAAACACTGCATGTTCTCACTCACAGATGGGAATTGAACAATGAGAACACATGGATACAGGAAGGGGAACATCACACTCTGGGGACTGTTGTGGGGTGGGGGGAGGGCGGAGGGATAGCATTAGGAGATATATCTAATGCTAAATGACGAGTTAATGGGTGCAGCACACCAGCATGGCACATGTATACATATGTAACTAACCTGCACATTGTGCCCATGTACCCTAAAACTTAAAGTATAATAAAAAAATAAAAAAAAAAGCTGCAGAAGCCAAAACAGTGTGGCACTGACATGAAGATGGACATAAAAACCAACAAAAGGAAGAGTTCAGAAACAAACCCAAACATCTATGGCCATTTGATTTTTTACAATGGTGCCAAGACCATTCAATGGGGAAAGAATAGTGTCTTCAACATATGTTTCTGGGACTACTGGCTAACTACATAGAAAAGAATGAAGTTGAACTTGTTACCTTGCTCCATATACAAAAATTAGCTCAAAATGGAACAAGAGCCAAAATATAAGAGATAAAGCTATAAAATTCCTAGAAGAAAACATAGAGATAAATTTTCATGAGCTCAGATTTAGTGAGAATTCTTAGATTTGACACCTAATGCCTGAGCAACAAATTAAAAATAGATACATTAGATTTCATCAAAATTAAAAACTCATTCATCAAATGACATTATCAAGAAAGTGAAAAAAAAACCTACAGAATGGGAGAAAATATTTACAATCATACACCTAATAAGTGTTTAGTATCCAAATATGTAAGAACACTTAAAACTCAACAAAAAGACAAAAAACCCAACTGAAAAATAAGCCAAGAACTTGAGCAGACAGTTCTTCAAAGAAGATATACAAATGACAACAAGCACAGGAAAAGATGTTCAATACCATTAGTCATCAGGGAAATGCAAATCAAAAGCAGAATGAGATATAACTTTACACCCATTAGGATGATTAGAATCAAAAAAAGCAGACAATAGCAAGTGTTAGTGAGGATATGAAGATATCGAAACACTGCATTTTGCTGGTGGGAATGTGAAATATTTTAGCCACTGTGGAAAATGGTTTAGCAGTTCCTTAAAAAGATAAACATAAAGTTGACATATAACCAAGCAATTTCAATCCAAAGTAATGAAATAATCTGTATGACAAACCCCCACGACACGTAATTTACCTACGTAAGAAACCTGCACATATACCCCTGAAACTAAAAGTTAAAAAGTAATAAAATAAAAGGTACTCAATAAATGCTTACAAATGAATGAGGCAGAGGCAACTTTCTTCTCTCTCTCTCTCTCACTTTCTCTCTTTTCTTCCGTTCATGTCTCTGGAGAATACAATTCATAGTCTGGTAGAAGTGCCAGGCATGTGAAAAATAATTATAAAACAATTTAATAAGTGCTAAAAGAAGAGAGTTAGTTTTATAGAAGTTTTTGGTGTGTTTTCTGTGTAAACTTAGAGTTGTGTTTTCCTTCCATAACAAATTTAAACATAATTTCCTACGGCAGGAAATGAAGAAAAGTTTAGTCCAGATAGACGTTCTTCACCGGCTTTTGTTTGTGGATATGCGAGGACAAAAAAATTGGCCTCTTTTTTTTTTCATTTTCTTTTTATTATTATTATACTTTAAGTTTTAGGGTACATGGGCACAATGTGCAGGTTAGTTACATATGTATACATGTGCCATGCTGGTGTGCTGCACCCACTAACTCCTCATCTAGCATTAGGTATATCTCCCAGTGCTATCCCTCCCCCCTCCCCCCACCCCGCAACAGTCCCCAGAGTGTGATGTTCCCCTTCCTGTATCCATGTGTTCTCATTGTTCAATTCCCACCTATGAGTGAGAATATGCGGTGTTTGGTTTTTTGTTCTTGCAATAGTTTACTGAGAATGATGATATCCAATTTCATCCATGTCCCTATAAAGGACATGAACTCATCATTTTTTATGGCTGCATAGTATTCCATGGTGTATTATGTGCCACATTTTCTTAATCCAGTCTATCATTGTTGGACATTTGGCTTGGTTCCAAGTCTTTGCTATTGTGAATAGTGCTGCAATAAACATACGTGTGCATGTGTCTTTATAGCAGCATGATTTATAGTCCTTTGGGTATATACCCAGTAATGGGACGGCTGGGTCAAATGGTATTTCTAGTTCTAGATCCCTGAGGAATCGCCACACCGATTTCCACAATGGTTGAACTAGTTGACAGTCCCACCAACAGTGTAAAAGTGTTCCTATTTCTCCACATCCTCTCCAGCACCTGTTGTTTCTTGACTTTTTAATGATTGCCATTCTAACTGGTGTGAGATGGTATCTCATTGTGGTTTTGATTTGCATTTCTCTGATGGCCAGTGATGATGAGCATTTTTTCATGTGTTTTTTGGCTGCATAAATGTCTTCTTTTGAGAAGTGTCTGTTCATGTCCTTTGCCCACTTTTTGAGGGGGTTGTTTGTTTTTTTCTTGCAAATTTGTTTGAGTTCATTGTAGATTCTGGATATTAGCCCTTTGTCAGATGAGTAGGTTGCGAAAATTTTCTCCCATTTTGTAGGTTGCCTGTTCACTCTGATGGTAGTTTCTTTTGCTGTGCAGAAGCTCTTTAGTTTAATTAGATCCCATTTGTCAATTTTGGCTTTTGTTGCCATTGCTTTTGGTGTTTTAGACATGAAGTCCTTGCCCATGCCTATGTCCTCAATGGTATTGCCTAGATTTTCTTCTAGGGTTTTTATGGTTTTAGGTCTAACATTTAAGTCTTTAATCCATCTTGAATTGATTTTTGTATAAGGTGTAAGGAAGAGATCCAGTTTCAGCTTTCTCCATATGGCTAGCCAGTTTTCCCAGCACCATTTATTAAATAGGGAATCCTTTCCCCATTGCTTGTTTTTCTCAGGTTTGTCAAAGATCAGATAATTGTAGATATGTTACGTTATTTCTGAGGGCTCTATTCTGTTCCATTGATCTATATCTCTGTTTTGGTACCAGTACCATGCTGTTTTGGTTAATGTAGCCTTGTAGTATAGTTTGAAGTCAGGTAGTGTGATGCCTCCAGCTTTGTTCTTTGTCCTTTGACAAAATTCAACAACCCTTTATGCTAAAAACTCTCAATAAATTAGGTATTGATGGGACGTATCTCAAAATAATAAGAGCTATCTATGACAAACCCACAGCCAATATCATACTCAATGGGCAAAAACTGGAAGCATTCCCTTTGAAAACTGGCACAAGACAGGGATGCCCTCTCTCACCACTCCTATACAACATAGTGTTGAAAGTTCTGGCCAGGGCAATTAGACAGGAGAAGGAAATAAAGGGTATTCAATTAGGAAAAGAGGAAGTCAAATTGTCCCTGTTTGCAGATGACATGATTGTATTTTTAGAAAACCCCATTGTCTCAGCCCAAAATCTTAAGCTGATAAGCAACTTCAGCAAAGTCTCAGGATACAAAATCAATGTACAAAAATCACAAGCATTCTTATACACCAACAACGGACAGAGAGCCAAATCATGAGTGAACTCCCATTCACAATTGCTTCAAAGAGAATAAAATACCTAGGAATCCAGCTTACAAGGGACGTGAAGGACCTCTTTAAGGAGAACTACAAACCACTCACTGCTCAAGGAAATAAAAGAGGATACAAACAAATGGAAGCACATTCCATGCTCATGGGTAGGAAGAATCAATATCGTGAAAATGGCCATACTGCCCAAGGTAATTTACAGATTCAATGCCATCCCCATCAAGCTACCAATGACTTTCTTCACAGAATTGGAAAAGCTACTTTAACGTTCATATGGAACCAAAAAAGAGCCCGCATTGCCAAGTCAATCCTAAGCCAAAAGAAAATTGGCTTCTTTCTTTCCTTCTCTTTCTTCCTTCTCATAAACAAAGGCAGTCATTTACTTTAAATTTGGATATTATTCGTTCTTAAAATTTTTTCAGAATTTCTTCGTTACTATCACATATGTCATTACTGCTAAGCTTAGAGAAAAATCTCCAGTAGCTACATTTTAAAGCTTTACATTTTCATTCTGATAATTCACTTTCAACACCAGAATTCACTCACAATCTTAATGTGTTCTTATTTGACTTGCGAAGTGTTCTTGTGGGTATACGGGTGCCAAAGCATAGATTCAACTATCACGTTAAAATTTATAATAATCCTTTAATGGGCATTGTGATATTTACTCCACACTAAAACATACAAACAAGCAAAAACTTATGAGCTATAAATTACTACCCCATTGAACAGGTAAGAAAAATGGACCCCAGACAGACAAATTGGCTTACTCCAGCAAGACTTCACTAGTGTAAGTGGCAAGCCAGGACCTAAACCTAGATCAGAGAATTTCTAGTACAGTGTTTTCCCCACTTCATCATAGCTCTTCTGTTTTCTGCATTATCAAGGCATTTTATCATTGAATGTTATAACTAAGGCATTTGCTTCATTGCAAACCTGTTACCATAACAACAAAAAAAAACTCGAAGAATATGCCTGATTGCTAAATGCCCTAAATTTAATTTTTATATAAAATATTATTGAACTTTCCTTTGATATAAGGCAAAAGCCATTTTTCATAGCCTAGTTGAGTATATTTATATTTATCTTGTGTCCATTGGATTTAACTGTTGTGCTCATAAGTGCTTGATGAAAACATAACTGATCAAAAAAATAAATAAATAAAATAAAATAAAATAAAATAAAACTGATCAAGCCAGCACACTGGCGCATGCTTGTAGTCCCAGCTACTTGGGAAGCTGAGGGCTGAGGTGAGAGAATACCTTGAGCCCAGGAGTTCGAGGCCAGCCTCGTTAACATAGCCAGACCCTGTCTCTAAAATTTATATATATATTTTATATATACACACATACACATACACACACATATAAATATACACATGCATATATGTATACATATATATACACACACATATATATATATAAATGTTTAAAATGTAAGTATCACAGCAATAAAAACCTGTTGGCCTGTAAGAAAGAGGCTTGACTGCACCCTAATATTGATAAAAAATGTAATAGCAATGGCTCACGCCTGTAATCCTAGCACTTTGGGAGGCCGAGGCAGTCAGATCGCTTGAGCTCAGGAGTTCCAGACAACCTGGGCAACATGGCAAAACCTCGTCTCTACTAAAAAAAAAAAAAAAAAAAAAAAAAATACAAAGATTAGCCTGGCATGGTGGCATGCTCCTGCAGTCACAGCTATTTGGTGGACAGAGGTGGGAGGATCACTTGAACCTAGGAGACGGAGATTTCAGTGAGTCGAGATTGCACCCCTGCATTCCAGCTTGGACAACAGTGAGACCCTGTCTCAAAAAAAAAAAAATGTAATAGCAGGAAAAGGCTTACTTTTTGTTAATGTTGAAATTTATCTCAGTAATGGAGAATTTTTCCTGTAGGCTATCAGCATGAATTCTGAATTGTGAGTCACAACTGGAATCTTTGTAATAAATACACAGAGGAGACACTGTCTAAATTGAGAGTATAAAGAAATAGAAAAAGAAAGTGGGATGAAAAATTAGATATATTAGATCAAACAAAAGAAGGTATATTTTCATCCCATATTTTGAATAGCTATAACTTTGTGATCTTTTTGTTTCTTTTATTTCTTCCCAGTATTCAATCACATTTTCAGTACAAATTATCGTATTATTTTGCAGAAACACTCTGTTCCTTGGTGGATTTATTCAGCTAATTAATGTTTTAAAAAGAATTACTGAAAGCAATATTGCAAGAAATAATTTCCAAACTGAAATTTATACACTTGAAAGCTGATTCCTACAAAAATGATTTGGCTCTATAAAAAAAGAAGCAGTCCATCAGCTCCACAGACCCAGACATGAGCCTGATAGGATTTCTTTTTCATAGGAAATTACTGCTATGACTGATTCTTGTTAACCCTCGGGGGGTAAAATCCAGTGGCAAGGTCTAATCAGAGACTGAAATAGAATGTTCTATTGTCTGAAATTGTTATCTCTGTGTATTAGTTGAAAGACAAATTAAATGTGTTAGAATCAAGTAAAATATTCACTTCCCCTCTTACCTCACCAGGCTACCTCACTTTAACTGAATTACTACTAAGTTCCTTTCCTCCCTTAATTCCCCTTACATCCTGATAATTGAATATATATCTCATATTTCATTGCTCTTCAGATCCACAGTGGAGGGAGGATGTCTGCTGGTGAGAATTAATATAGCCTGTCCTAGGACCCCTGCCTACTGTACTCAATGCCTGAACCATTTCCTCAAACCATTCCATGCTGCTTAAAAGGATCATGACCATGAGAATAATTGTAGCCTGTCCTAGTACCCCTGTCTACTATGCTTAGTGTCTGAACCATTCCCTCAAACCACCCCATGCTGCTAAGGACCGTGACAGAGAGATTCCCTTTTCATGCAGTCATTTCATAGGCAGCTTTTTCCTTGAGAGCTGTTACCACAACCTCCACCCCTCCTGCTGGAAAACTAACCAGCTCTGGCGGCAGAGTGGAGACAAGGCTACATCTGGTAGCCTGTTTTGCTGATTGTGTTTTCTTGTGTTCCTATGGGTGTATGACAGCTAAGAAGCAAGTTACAGCTTTCAGTTGAAAATGCAGAAACGTAAAACATTCCTCAAAGCTAAGACTTCTGTATTTTTTTTTCTGATTTCCCAAGTTTACTAAACATGCAGATAGGGTTTTGAATGTCACAAACCATTTTCCTTCATTTTCATCAGGAAGTTTTTGTCACGTAAGACAATAGTTAACCGAAATCAACACCTCTGAAGATATATTTAAATGAAAAATCATGATCCAGTGGTTTTTTTTTTTTTTTTCGTTAGAATAAACTACGCACGGCCCAGTGCAGCGGCTCATGCATGTAATCCCAGCACTTTGGGAGGCCGAGCCGGGCGGATCACGAGGTCAGGAGTTCGAGATTAGCCTGGCCAACATGGTGAAACCCCATCTCTACTAAAAATACAAAAATTAGCTAGGCGGGCAGCAGGCACATGTAATCCCAGCTACTTGGGAGGCTAAGGCAGGAAAATGGTTTGAATCCAGGAGGCAGAGGTTGCAGTGAGCCGAGATCATGCCATTGCGCTCCAGCCTGGGCAACAGGGCAAGACTCCGTCTCAAAAAAAAAAGAATAAACTATGCACTTACCTGTCATATAGCAATTAAGCATGAACTTTGGAGACAGGCTGCCTGAGATCAAAACCTGCCTTGGACTCTAATGACTGAATATAAGACATTGAGCAAGTTACTTAAACTACCTATGCTTATTTCTTCATTCTCTAAAATGGAGATAATATTAGTACCCACGTCCCACTGCTTCCTACAATGAGAATTCAATAAGTTAACACATGCAAAACACGTGAAACATTATCTTTCATGGATTTAGGTTTTTACAAGTGTTACCTGTTACAATTAATAATATTGTAAATGAAAATTTTTCCAACATATTATTCTTTAGTTTGTAGACACTGTGAAGGCACAATATGAATTCCTAAATAAATATATTTTTAAAAAACTTTGCCTATGACTTTGTATTTACCTCAGATGAGTTCTCAAATTAGTTTTACTGATTTTTTTTCTCCAGTCTCTCAGATCTTACTCCTCAGAACTTGCTCTGTCGTCATACAGCTATTATGAAGGAACGAAGCTCAAGTTAAAGACAAAAAGCCTATTCAGGAATCATTAGTATTTATAGTAATAAAGCTAATAAGTAAGGCCTCATGTTAACTAATGATGCTATTACACTTGTGTTCCTCAGTTAGTATTATCTCTCATGGGATAAACATACTGTTTGCACAAATAAGACATCAAGCAGGTAAGACAATGTTTAAAAGAATTCCTCCTTCTAGGTCTTTATCTCCCTGCCACTACTTTTCTCTCTATTTATCATCTTAGAAAATAGAGTAGTAGCCTATTTCTGCTGACCTGATCAACTGAAAAGCCCATATGTCTAAGGACACTTTACAATTGTTAAAACATTTGCCAGTATAGCGGTGTTTTTTCAAGTTTTCTCTCCTTCCTAATGCTTCAATAATTTCTGTTTTTTGTTTTTGCTTAGAAAGTAGAATCCAAGAGCATTTTACAACAAGTAAATTTTTTGTGAATTGACCTTGATGTTTTCCATCCATGTTTAAAGTGAATGTCATTAGTGATATCAGGTTTTTCCTATGACATACATCTGTGCTACAATGTAATGTTCTGAACCCATCTTTTTAAATGTCTGCTATTTAGGTTTAGTCTTTGTGAAGTAAGTAGCTAGTTCATGAGAAAATCAACATTTTCTCATCTTACCTCTTGAATACAACACTAATTACACTTTTAAAAGACATTTGCTTACGAAAATTAATGAATTCATTTTCTTCTCAATCATAAGCCAAATCTTCATGGGAATCTTGCACTTTTTTCACTCCAACTGCTGCTATTCTTTATTCAACATTGCAGAGAGAATTGACTTTGATATCATGTCTGTGCCTAATAATGAATGGCTGATTTAAAAAAAAAAAAAAAAAAGCACAAACTTCCCATCAGAGCCTTCTGTAAAACAGAAATCAAAGTTGCTCAGTTGTTGGCTGACTTGAAAATAGTTCATACTGAGTCCCATGTGCCTACATAGGATCTGTTTATTTTGATGTATAAACCATAGAAGTAAGATAACTGAAGCTGAAGGTGATCATTTAAGATAAATTCTTACTTCCAAGCCCAATGGATCACCAGGTGTCAGGGCCAGTGCTAATCTTAGTAGTCCCTGTGGTAGCTAGAGCTGCCTGGAATCATGTTTTACATTTTCACGTAAGTGCTTATTTCATACAGGTTTTTCACTTTCTTTCCCCCACAATAAGTCACTAATTTTGCATGGCTTCCTTTGAGACCTAAAACAATATTTCTCCCAGAAGGACTATTCTTGTAGAAACATATACTGTGGGTTTGGGTTTCGTTAATCAACAGTTCTCTAACCTCTATGTTCTTCTTTTATTTTTTAAAGGCAGTTTATCCACTGCAATACTTAAATGTTTTGTATTTCACAGTCTTCTCTGATATCGGTGGAAGTTTTGTGCCTAAGAATTTATTGCTATTCTGATAACCAGTAATAACAAAATAACTTTACCTGGCAGAATTCAATACCTACATATTTATCTCAGTCACTGTTACTGTGCCTACTTTAAATAATTTTTTATTTAATATAACAAAGTGTGTGATTACATAAATTAAAAACTTAGAGAAGTAAATTTTCTATCTGGCAAAAACAAAAATTAAATCCTCATTCCACTGTCTTTCCTCCTGTTAAAATTTTCCATCGGAGGAGAGTTTTTAATCTTGTTTCTTTGTATTAGTGGGGGGTAGAATTGTTTGTTTTTATAAATTTTAATATACCAAAGTAGCATGTACATCCATAAACATTATATTTGTTATGTTCTAATTTTGTTTTTTGTTTTTTGGTTTTGTTTTTGTCTTTAGCTGTGAACAGCATTCAAATTTGAAAAGTGCTCCCAAAAACATTTTCTCTGTAGTGGTGTCACATTTTCTCCTTAGTTCTTTGATGCCAATAGAATTTTGTTATCCAAAATATGTGCATATGTATAATATTTAATGTGAAGTATAAAACCATAACACATGTTGATTCCATGTATGTTATCTATATGTTGATTCCATGTATGTTATCTATATGTTGATTCCATGTATTTTAATGTGAAAAATGCATAGGAATATTGAAAGTATTTATATTATAAGATAGTCCCATGCTGTCAAATATTTCTTACTATAACTGTAGTTAACATGCTCCTTAAGAAAATTCTGGGAAACTTAGGCCAATGTCATGCTTTCTCTATGCTATGACTTTCTCCATGTCCTGGAAAAGAAAGATGAACTAAAGATCACTCTAATTGTATGTGCTATTATTAAACATATGGCAATAGTAATATCTAATTTCAAAAATTAGTACATTATAATAAAATAGTCCTGAATCATTTTTGTTTCTCAAACAATATGTGCTACGATTTTCTAATTTTACTTACATTTAAATAAAGTGCTACCATGAATTTATACATAGATAATTATCCTATGTGCATTATATCTTCTTTTCTTCATCCATTCATGCTTACATTTGATTTGTTGCATTTCCATTAAGCCAAATAAATTGAATTCTTTCTGAAACAAAGGATGGTAGTAACAAATTAAAGTGAAATAAATAATAACTTCTGAAATAATCACTTCTCAAGTGGAAAATTAATAAAGTTATGAACTTAAAGCAATGTTGTAATAAAGTTATGAACTATAGCTTATAAAAGAAGTACATCACCTTTTTGGTTGGACTTTATGTCTGTGTTTTATAAAATGGGCTGTTTCCCTTTAGAGGGCTCTTAAATTGTTCAGATTCTGGCTATGCAGTGACAACCCTCACCCAAACTAAAACCCAGGGCTGTGACAAGGAAGCTTGGCCCACTACTAATTGGGTGTGAAGTTCAGTTCTAGGCATCCTCAGTTGGATCATAAGTTACAGCCACTATATTTCTGAATCCTGACACAGCAGGCAGGCAGGGAACCTGCCCTTCAGAGCAGATGCTTCTGCGCCCACCACCCCCACAGGAAAGACAGCATAGTCTCCACCAAGTGACCTCTTGCTCTGAGTCATGGCTCAAAACAACCAAGAGATGTCCCAAGAACAAGCAGCAGTCACGCCCTTTTGAGCTAAGAATAACATTTGGCCATCAAATTTAAGGCATATATTGAGCAAAAGTTAGTGAGAAAAAATATTTAAAGTTACTAGAACTTTTGAGCACATAAAATGAGGAGATTTTAAAACTCACTCTTCTGTAAGTAAATAGTTGTGACTGAGGATCAGGTAGCTTTCTAAAACAAAAATAGATAAACCTTGTTTCAGAAGCAACTAGTCTTAGAAAGGATATACTTTACTTTGTACACCATTGGAATATTGTTGAAATCTTCCTTAACAATGCCAATTTGGAAAATAATAAGCCTTTGAAAAAATATGCCTTTTTTTTTCCTAACCGGTAGTGGTGATGGTGTTTCTATGCGGGAAAAAAAAAAAGATACAAAAAGAAAAAGAAAAGAATAATCCAAAATAAATTGATCAAGATTTGTGATCTAGCAAGGTTTTCATTGTTGAGACAATTTGGAATTATTTTTTGAGAAACTGCAATAAGCTTTAAGTTAATAATTATATTTACTTGGCAAGTCTTATTCTGAAGATATAAATCAGTCAGCTTGGTCCCAGAAAAAGGTCTGATTTTTTTTTTTTTATGTTTTTCTTTTGTTGTCAGTGTATTGACAGTAGATGTTTGCTTGCTGCAATTAAGAAAAAGGAAGCCTCATTTTCAGCAAAAGTTTATACTGGATTTATTTTCTACAAATAACAGTGCTAAAGTACTTTGAAATAACTGTCAACAATCACCTGAAGCCAGTGCAACATGGGTTACTGACACCTGAAACTTCCATTGCTTATAAAATCACGATCTTCAAATGCATTTTCTCTTGGATCGCTTGTCTCTAAACGCCATCACTAAAAACAATAAGCGAGGATCTCAACTCAAAGGTTCTTTTCTTCTTTTGAATCTCACAGAATGAAAATCTGACCCACTATATAAAATACTCACTAGTACATCTTTTAAAATGTACGTTGGATTGTATACAGTTTGCGCTTTGAGCTTTTTTTTTCTTTATCATGTCAAATAGAGATCTCTGAGAAGAGTAACTTAGCCTTTACAACACAACCATTTTCCAGGATGCCTGCCAAGTGAGTACTTAGGAGGATGGCCTTCAGGCTGGGAGGAGCGTGTTATCCCCTATCTGGGGACTAGACACAATCCAGGAGGCTCCCAGGAGAATTGGCCCTGTTATCTGATAATAGCTCTTTTCCATTTCTGACCAAAGAGATATCTGCTGTTTCCAAGGGGTTAATATTTCAAGTTATACCAATAAATACACCTCTTTACTTGCTGCCTTGAATTTAGTATGCCATATTTTTATTATTTTTAGTTTCTTATTCTTGGAAATGTTGACTCTATACCTGATTTCTCTAATTAAAAAAGAAAATGCGGATATCTCAACCCTTCATTGAATCCAATTAGCAACCTCCCCAATGCTGCTCCAACTGGTTCATTTAAAAAAAAAAAAAAAGAGTGGTTTTCTTCTTCACATTGGAATTTATCATATTTACAGATTGTTTTTGGCTTTGGGGATTCTGCTTTGCCATAAAGTATACAAATAATATTTTAAAATAATATATACTCTTTCTACATTTTGTCCATTTAGTTTTCCCCTGGTTTATGTCCTTTTTAAAGTTACTACACAACTATTACTATCAATCAGACATTGCATGAACATCATAGTGACATTATTATTTAGACCAAACTTTGCAGTCATTACTGCAATAACTTAGAGAATTTTGTTTTAATACCAATGTCAAGGCCTCATCCCTAGGGATCCTGATTCAGTAAGTCTAAGTTGGGGCCCCAGCATTTGCATGTTTTTAGAAACTTTAAAAATAATGTCAGTAAGTGCCCCCAGGTAATTCATACATGCAGCCAGGGTTAAGAACTACTGATTTAGGACCTGTGGTAGTGTGTTCTCACGCTGCTGATAAAGACATACCCGAGACTGGGTAATTTATAAAGGAAAGAGGTTTAATGGACTTACAGTTCCACATTGCTGGGGAGGCTTCACAATCATCGCAGAAGACGAAGGAGAAGCAAAGGCATGTCTCACATGGCGGCAGGCAGGAGAAGTGCCAAGCAAAAGGGGTAAAAATTCCTTATAAAACCATCTGAGAACTCACTTACTATCAGGAAAACAGCATGAGAGTAATCACCCCTATGATTAAATTACCTCCCACCAGGTTCCTCCCATGACACGATTATGGGAACTACAATTAAAGATGAGATTTGAGTGGAGACACAGTCAAACCATATTAGGACCTAAAGAGGAGCTTGGATGCCTTTCTTGGAGTTAATGGTTTCCAAAGGACAGAGAGCAAACTGGAACAATGAAGCTTCACAAGCTTTCAGAAAGAAAAATCCTATTATAAGGTTTGATGACAAGCTTCATAAAGAATTTCAAAACATACTCCTCAGTACTTTAAGTATATGCTTTCTACTCCCAGTGAGCAATGGAGCTATTATGCTCCCTTGTATTTCTTCTCTTCTTTACTCCTGATACTTGGAGAATTTCGTAGCCCATTAACAACTGAACCAACAGATAGAGAAGAAAGGATAAAGTAAGGGAAAAGGAGAAGGGAACTAACACTTGCTGAGCTAGACCTACCAGGCATCAGCACTGTCCTCTTCTTTGTTTTGTTTAGTCCTTTGAACTACTGCAAGGTGCAGGCTGTTAAGTCCATTTCATGGGTGAGAAAACTGCTTCAGAATGATTGTGCAGTTTATTCAAGTTTACATCACTAATAAATGATGAAGGAAGAATACCAACCTAAGATTCTCCAGCTCCCAATTCATGTTATTTCCAGCAACCCCAAGGAAAGATCAAATATTTGTATGTTATTCTTCGCTGGCAGTGGTTAATGGGGAAAGAAGAAGACAGAGGAGAGAGAACTAAAAGAAATCTTCAGCAGAAGTTTTGTGATTATAGGTATACTTTGAAGATATTGAAGATTCAGTTCCAGACCCCCACAGTAAAGCAAATATTGCAATAAAGTGATAAAAATTAGTCACACTGATTTTTTTGGTTTCTCGGTTGGTGCACATAAAAGTTATGTTTATACTATACTGTAGTCTATTAAGTGTAAAATAATATTATGTCAAAAAAGGTACATAATTTAAAAACAGTTTTGATAAAAAATAATAAAGATCATTGAGCCTTCAGCGAGTCATAACGTTTTTGCTTATGGAGGATCTTGCTTTGATGATGATGGCAGCTGACCAATCAGGGTGGTGGTTGCTGGCTATGGCAGTTTCTTGAAATAAGACAATGAAGTCTGTGCCATCCATTGACTCTTCCTTGAACAAATGATTTCTCTGCAGCATGTGACGCTGTTTGATAGCATTTTACCCACAGTAGGACTTCTTTGAAAACTGGAGTCAACCCTCTCGAATTCTGCCACTGCCTTATCAACTAAGTTGATGTAATGTTCTAAATCCTTTGTTGTCATTTCCAAAATGTCTACAGCATCTTCACCAGGAATAGATTCCACCCAAAGACACCACTTTCTTTGCTCATCTATAAGAAGCAATTTCTCATCCATTCAAGTTGATTATGAGATTGCAGCGATTCAGTTACACCTTCAGGTTCTACTTCTAATTTTAGTTCTCTTGCTATTTCACCACATCTCAGTTACTTCCTCCACTGAAGTACTGAATCCCTCAAAATCATTCATGGGGGTTGGAATCAACTTTGTCCAAACCTCTGCTAATGTTGACATTCTGACCTCCTCCCATAAATCGTGAATGTTTTTAATAGTAAATCCTTTCCAAAAAGTTTTCGATTTACTTTTCCCAGATCCATGACAGAAATCACTATCAATGGCAGCTATAGCCTAAAGAAATGTATTTCTTAAATGGTAAGAGTTGAAAATCAAAATTATTCTTTGATCATGGGCTGCAGAATGGATGCTGTGTTAGCAAGCATGAAAACAACATTAATCACCCTGTATATTTTCATCAGAGCTCTTGGGTGACTAGGTGCATTGTCAACGAGTAGTAATATTTTTAAAAGAATCTTTTTTTGAGGAGTGTGGCTCAAGAGTGGGCTAAAAATGTTCAGTAAGCCAAGCCATGAACAGATTTGCTGTCCCCCCAGGCTTTGTTTTCCTTCATAGAGCATAACCAGAGTAGATTTAGCTTAATATGTATGGGTTTTGGGATTTTCAGAATGGTAAATGAACACTGGCTTCAACTGAAAGTCACCAGCTACATTAACCCCTGACAAGAGAGTCAGCCTATCCTTTGAAGCTTTGAAGCTAAATGTTGACTTCTCTCTAGCTATAAAAGCTAATGGATGGCATCTTATTTCGATAGAAGACTATATTGTTTACATAGATATTCTTTGTTTAGTGTAGCCACCTTTATCCATTATCTTAGCTAGACCTTCTGGATAACTTGCAGTGGCTTCTGCATCAGCTCTTGCTGTTTCACCTTGTACTTTTATGTTATGGAGATGGCTTCTTTCCTTCAACCTCATGAACTAACCTCTGCTAGCTTCTAACTTTTCTTCTGCAGCTTCCTCATCTCTGTCAGCCTTCCTAGAATTGAAAAGAATTCGGTCTTTACTCTGGATTAGATTTTGACTTAAGGGAATGCTGTGGCTGGTTAGATCATCTATCCAGACCACTCAAACTTTCTTCACATCAGCAATAAAACTGTTTTATTTTCTTATCATTTGTGTGTTCATTGGAGTAGCACTTTAAATTTCTTTCAAGAACTCTTCTTTTACATTTACAACATGGCTAATTGTTTGGTGCAAGGGGCCTAGCTTTGGCCCTATCTAGTTTTCAACATGCCTTCCTCACTAAGCTAAATCATTCTCAGCTTTTGATTTCAGGTGAGAGGTGTGTGAATCTTTTTTTCACTTGAAGACTTAGAGGCCATTATAGAGTTATTAAGTGGCCTAATTTCAGTATTGTGTCTCAGGGAATATGGAGGCCCCAAAAGAGGGAGAGAAACTGGGGAATAGCTGATTGGTGGGGCAGTCAGAGTACACACATTTATCAATTAAGTTTGCTGTCCTGTATGGACAGAATTCATGGTGCTCCAAAACAAATACAATAGTAACATCACATATCACTGATTACAGATAGCCATAACAGATATATAATAATGAAAAAGTTTGAAATAGTGCAAGAATTACCAAAATGTGACACAGACACAAAGTGACATAAGCTGTTGGAAAAATGGTGCCAACAGACTTGCTCAACGCAGGGTTGCCACGAATCCTCAATTTGTAAAAAGGTCAATATCTGCCAAATTCAATAAAGCAAAGCACAATAAAATGAGTTATGCCTGTACTTGGGGATTGGAAGCCATCAAATCTTTATACCACCACACACAATGAATGACTGCTTGATTTTACATTTGTGCAAAAGGTAAACTGCTGCAGTACATTGCAAACCATGGAGCATGAGGGAGTTGTGTGTGTCTGTGTTCAAACAACACAGAGAATGGGTGCTTCACCTGATACAAAAGCTCCTACAGCAGCCTCTCCATCAGTGCAGCTCCCTCTCACCCCATTGCCTAGATGGAGACAGAGACTGAAAATTGGGAGTACCAGACAGAGAAGGAAGTTCTCGTGTCATGTCACTCAACCACACAACCTTGGTTGCTTTTCCTCATTCTTCACCTCCTCCCCTGTTCATACAGCTCTTAATTCCCCAGCTTGAAGGAGATATTGGAAAGGCTGTGAATAAGTGTGTGTGTGTGTGTGTGTGTGTGTGTGTGTGTAATAAAAACACAAGAAGCCTCCATTAATTTCCACAATCTCATATCGAGAATATATGAAAATAGAAAAGTCTGAAATTAAACTCCCATGCAGCAGTTAGTACATATATAAATACCTAGCTCTAGTAACAAGGTCTTGGAACTGGAAACTTTGAAAAGTCATGCAAGGCCCTTTTTTGCACAGATAGGTTACATACCTTATCCTGATAAGAAGGTGGACAATGTCCATGCTGTCATGGAGAAAAGAAATGTGAAAAATGAACATGCGACTATAATTTACATGTGCTTCCATGATTTGGTTTAAAATATACGGAACCTAATATGTGTTGGTCATTGTACTGAGTGCCAGGGATCTAGAAGTGATGGAGACAAATACCTGCGTTCAAGAAGCTTACTGTCTAACAGGAAAGGTAAACATATAATAGGACATTTCAATAGATAGCATTAACCTCATAAAAGTGGCAAGAACTAAGTACCAAAACACCACATAATGACCCTGAAGAGGGAGGCTGGACCAGAGAATGCTTCACATTCTACGACTAGGTCTTGAAGATAAATGTTTCCCAGGTAGACAGGAAGACAAAGTTAATCTAGAAACAAAGAATACATAGAAAAATAGAGAAATGAACCCACATGGAACTTTCAAGGAACAGAAATAATTCTATAATATCTGAGCATGCATTTGACCAGATGAAACTAAGCATACTACGAGATGTTGTAGAATAATGAAATAAGCCCTAGAAGTTTGGGATTTAGGAATTAGCTCTGCTACTTTGTAGCTGTGAGCCATTGGGCAAGTCAGTCTCTCAAAGTTTCTGCTTTCTCTGTTGTGGAGACAATAATTCCTGCACAAGATATATGGAAGTAAATATGGGCTACTCAATTGAATTTTAGGCAAGGGTACCTTTTGGGGAAGTGTGTAAGTCTGAGACCAGAGGATGAGAAGGTGGGATAAAATGTTTAGGCTGAGACATAAGGCAAAGCTGAGAAGCGAAATAGAAAACATGGCACTTTCGAAGGGTTAAAAGTTTAATATGGCTGGGTGCAGTGGCTCACACCTGTAATCTCAGCACTTTGGGAGGCCGAGGAGGGTGGATCACCTGAGGTCAGGAGTTCGAGACCAGCCTGGCCAACCTGGTGAAACCCCATCTCTACTAAAAATACAAAAATTAGCTGGGTGTGGTGCTGGGTGCCTGTAATCACAGCTACTCAGGAGGCTGAGGCAGGAAAATCACTTGAACCCAGGAGGCAGAGGTTGCAGTGAGCTGAGATCACACCTGGGTGACAGAGTGAGACTCTGTCTCAAAAATAAATAAATAAATAAATAGGTTTGATATGCCTGGAGCATGAAGTACCAATAGTGAAAATTGAAGCTGTAGTGGTTAACATGGAAAACCATGAGTTGGGACTTCAGTCAATAGGCTAGTGGTAAAGTACTGAAGATTTTTTTGTTTGTTTAGTTTTGTTTGGTTATGTTTTGCTTTGACTTTAAAGCAGGAAAGTGATTGAATAAGATGATCCCTTTAAGGCCGATAGGTTCCAAGATGGCCGAATAGGAACACCTCCAGTCTGCAGCTCCCAACGTGATCCATGCAGAAGACGGGTGATTTCTGCATTTCCAACTGAGGTACCTGGTTCATCTCACTGGGACTGGATGGACAGTGGGTGCAGCCCATGGAGGGCGAGACAAAGCAGGGCAGGGCATCACTTCACCCGGGAAGCGCGAGGGTCAGGGGACTTACTGTACCTGGAAAAAACAGGACCCTCCTGCTTAAATACTGCGCTTTTCCAATGGTGTTAGCAAACGGCACACCAGGAGATTATATCCCGTGCATGGCTCGGTGGGTCCCACTCCCACGGAGCCTTGCTCACTGCTAGCACAGCAGTCTGAGATCAACCTGCGAGGCAGCAGCCTGGCTGGGGGAGGAGCATCCTCCATTGCTGAGGCTTGAGTAGGTAAACAAAGCAGCCAGGGAAGCTCAAACTGGGGAACTGGGCAGAGCCCACTGCAGGTCAGCAAGGCCTACTGCCTCTGTTGACTCCAACTCTGGGAGCTGGGTCTAGCTGAACAAAAGGCAGCAGAAACTTCTGCAGACTTAAACGTCCCTGTCTGACAGCTCTGAAGAGAGCAGTGGTTCTCTCAGCAAGGCATTTGAGCTCTGAAAATGGACAGACTGCCTCCTCAAGTGGGTCCCTCACCTCCCATGTAGCCTAACTGGGAGAACCTCCCAGTAGGGGCCGACTGACACCTCATACAGGTGGGTGCCCCTCTGGGATGAAGCTTCCAGAGGAAGGATCAGGCAGCAATATTTGCTGTTCTTCAGCCTCCGCTAGTGATACCCAGGCAAACAGGGTCTGGAATGGACCTCCAGCAAACTCCAAGAGACCTGCAACTGAGGGACCTGACTGTTAGAAGGAAAACTAACAAACAGAAAGGAATAGCATGAACATCAACAAAAAGGACATCCACACCAAAACCCCATCTGTAGGTCACCATCAAAGACCAAAGGTAGATAAAACCACAAAGATGGGGAGAAACCAGAGCAGAAAAGCTGAAAATTCTAAAAACCGGGTGTCTCTTCTCCTCCAAAGTATCACAGCTCCTCACAAGCAACAGAAGAAAGATGGATTCAGAATGACTTTCACAAGGTGACAGAAGTAGGCTTCAGAAGATCGATAATAACAAACTTCTCCGAGCTAAAAGAGGATGTTCAAACCCATCGCAAGGAGGCTAAAAACCTTGAAAAAAGATTAGATGAATAACTAACTAGAATAAACAGTGTAGAGAAGACCTTAAATGACCTGATGGAGCTGAAAACCATGGCATGAGAACTACATGATGCATGCACGAGCTTCACTAGCTGATTCGATCAAGTGGAAGAAAGAGTATCAGTGATTGAAGATAAAATTAATGAAATAGGCTGGGCGCAGTGGCTCACGTCTGTAATCCCAGCACTTTCAGAGGCCAAGGCGGGTGGATCACAAGGTCAGGATATTGAGACCATCCTGGCTAACATGGTGAAGCCCCATCTCTACTAAAAATACAAAAATTAGCCAGGCGTGGTGGCGAGCACCTGTAGTCCCAGGTACTCGGGAGGCTGAGGCAGGAGAATGGCGTGAACCTGGGAGGCAGAGCTTGCAGTGAGCTGATATCACACCATTGCACTCCAGCCTGGGCAACAGAGCAAGACTCCATCTCAAAAAAAAAAAAAAAATTTATGAAATAAAGAGATAAGTTTAGAGAAAAAAGAGTAAAAAGAAACAAACAATGCCTCCAAGAAATATGGGACTATGTGAAAAGACCAAATCTACATGTGATTGGTGTACCTGAAAGTGATGGGGAGAATGGAACCAAGTTAGAAAACACTATTCAGGATATTATTCAGAACTTCCCCAACATAGCAAGGCAGGCCAACATTCAAATTCAGGAAATACAGAGAACACCACAAAGATACTCCTTGAGAAGAGCAACCCCAAGACACATAATTGTCAGATTCACCAAGGTTGAAACGAAGGAAAAAATGTTAAGGGTAGTCAGAGAGAAAGGTCGATACTCACAAAGGGAAGTCCATCAGACTAACGGAGGATCTCTCAGCAGAAACTCTACAATCCAGAAGAGAGTGGGGGCCAATATTAAACATTCTTAAGGAAAATAGTTTTCAACCCAGAATTTCATATCCAGCCAAACTAAGCTTCATAAGTGAAGGAGAAATAAAATCCTTTACAGACAAGCAAATGCTGAGAGATTTTGTAACCACCAGGCCTGTCTTACAAGAGCTCTTGAAGGAAGCACTAAACATGGAAAGGAACAACCAGTACCAGCCACTGCAAAAACATGCCAAATTGTAAAGACCATTAATGCTAGAAAGAAACTGCATCAACTTACACGCAAAATAACCAGCTAACACTATAATGACAGGATCAAATTCACACATAACACTATTAACCTTAAATGTAAATAGGCTAAATGCCCCAATTAAAAGAATAGACTGGCAAATTGGGTAAAGAGTCAAGACCCATAAGTGTGCTGTATTCAGGAGACCCATTTCACATGCAGAGACACATATAGGCTCAAAATAAAGGGATGGAAGAAGATCTACCAAGCAAATGGAAAGCAAAAAAAAAAAAAGCAGGGGTTACAATCCTAGTCTCTGATAAAACAGACTTTAAATCAACAAAGATCAAAAGACAAAGAAGGCCACTATATAATGGTAAAGGGATCAATTCAACAAGAAGAGCTAACTATCCTAAATATATATGCACCCGATACAGGAGCACCCAGATTCATATAGCAAGTCCTTAGAGACCTGCAGAGACCTAGACTCCCACACACAGACACTTCTAAAAAGAAGACATTTATGCAGCCAACAGACACATGAAAAAATGCTCATCATCAGTGGTCATCAGAGAAATGCAAATCAAAACCACAATGAGATACCATCTCAAGTCAGTTAGAATGGCAATCATTAAGAAGTCAGGAAACAACAGATGCTGGAGAGGATGTGGAGAAATAGGAGCACTTTTGCACTGTTGGTGGGAGTACAAACTAGTTCAATCATTGTGGAAGACAGTGTGGCAATTCCTCAAGGATCTAGAACTAGAAATACCATTTGACCCAGCCATCCCATTACTGGGTATATACCCAAAGGATTATAAATCATGCTACTTTAAAGACACATTCACACATATGTTTATTGTGGCACTGTTCACAATAGCAAAGACTTGGAACCAACCCAAATGTCCATCAATGACAGACTGGATTAAGAAAATGTGGCACATATACACCATGGAATACTATGCAGCCATAAAAAAGGATGAGTTCATTCTTTTGCAGGGACATGGATGAAGCTGTAAACCATCATTCTGAGCAAACTAACACAAGGGCAGAAAACCAAACACTGCATATTCTCACTCACAGGTGGGAATTGAACAATGAGAACACTTGGACACAGGGTGGGAACATCTCACACCAGGGCCTGTTGGGGGGTGGAGGGCTGGGGGAGGGATAGCATTAGGAGAAATAGCTAATGTAAATGACGAGTTAATGGGTGCAGCAAACCAACATGGCAAATGTATACCTATGTAACAAATCTGCACGTTGTGCACATGTACCCTAGAACTTAAAGTATAATAATAATAATAATAAAAGATTATCCCTTTAAAAAGGAATTTTCTCATAGGCTGGAGAATTAATTGGAGGAGAATCACACTGGAGTCCAACATACCAATGACAGCATAGTTTCAGTCAACAAGGTAAGACTTGAAGGTAGATTAAACTAAAGTAGCAGAAATGGAGATGTGAGTGGAGAAAACTAAAGGAATTTGAGAAGAATTTAGAAAACCTTGATAATTTGTTAAAGGCAAGTGTGAGGGAAAGAGAGAAACTAAGGATGAAAATCAGTTCTCTGGGCTTAGGCAGCTGGACGGATAGTTTGCCATTTACTACCTAAGAAATGGAAAACTGGAGGAGGAGCCAGTTAGAAAAGGAAAATGAAGAGTTCCATTTCAAACATATTGAGTATGAGATATCTGTAGGACTTCCAAGTAGCACTATCCAGGGGGCAACTGAATATATACGTCTGAACCCAGCAGAGGGATCTAAGTTGAATGTAGATGTTCAAAACCTATTAAATATATATATTTGTATTTATATATATGACCCCATATATATAAATATATATATGACCCCATATATATAAATATATATATAATTACATATAAATATATACAAAAGAAATATATAAGGATATCTAAGGGCACAAATCCTTGTATGACTCTATACATATATTTATATTTTTATATATATTTATATTTATATATATATATGGAGTCATACAAGGATTTGTGCCCTTAAGTATCCTTTACAGCTTTAGAGTACAATTACAATACAAAATAATCTTCTTTACTTCCTTAAAGTATTGGGGCCACACATTTTGAGTCATTTATCTATTGTTCATCATTATTTTAAAACATAATATAGGCTTCTTAAATATTAAACATCTAACTTTACATCATATTTTCCTCAAAATAAAAGGTCAAGGCCTCCATGTAAATAGAATATAGAAGCCAGATTTTAATTAAGTACAGCTATAGTTAGTCTAATATTCTTACCTCTAAATTCTGGGTTAAAATTTTCCTGTTTGTTGTTGTGAAGTAACTTGGTTTGTGCATTTCTTTATCTTGAAAATTCATATTACTACTGTAACATTTATTCTTTCTAAAGATTTTCAACTGGTAAAATCACAAAAACTTAAGAAAAAATTTCATTCACATACTCCAACCAAGGCTCTTCTTTCTCCCTCCTTCCCTGCATACCATGATCACCTGCACTCCCAAAGAACTTCAACAAGTGTCTGCTAAACTTCTCCTTGAACACTTTCAGTATGGGGCAACTCTCATACTCCTCCCGTTTTTGGAGGGGATATCTTTAAATAACAAAAAAATTCTTCCATATAGTGATCATAAATCTACTTCTCTATAATGTTATTTCATTGGTTCTTCTCCTAGCAACATAAGGAACCATAAGGAATAAAGTTAGCCCCATTTATTTTAGACAGCCATTGAAATATGTGTGTGTGTGTGTGTGTGTGTGTGTGTGTGTGTGTGTGCGTACAATATAATCCACTTTGTAGAGCTCACATTGTCTTGGGTTGTTCTCATTTTTGTAATCAATCTTTTGTACTTTTTCATAACATTTAATTAATAATCAACAAAAAATCGTAAGTCCAAGTTTTATTCGTTAAAAAAAATCATTTCAACAAGTATTTGTTTCATATGAAAATTGCTAAGGGGTATATACAGCATATAGAAATAAATGAGAAACTTCTTTTTCCAACCATGATGGAATAACAGAGACCAGGAACAATCTGAATGGAATAACAGAGACCAGAAACATGATGGAATAACAGAGACCAGAAACAACTGAAACCATTAAAAATCTATATAAAACACAAAGAACACTTTTCAGACACTGGACCAAAGACAGCACCAGATAGTTAATCCCTAAGAAAAGTGAAGCAAATAAGATTAGCTCGGCAATTACACTAGTTTACTGGCTGGAGAAAACTTCCAGGCCACAACACAAGGAGGAGAAAACCAAATAGACTCAATTGTCTCCCTAAGATGAAGATAAAGAGTTGAGAATTGAGGGAAGTCAGGACAGCTAGAATTCACAGTACAGATATGAGATCTGCAGAATTCCCTTGAATCTTCAGCTGAGTGCTAATTAACAGATATAAAACCTAAGACCAGTGTAAAACCTTCAAAGAAGATCAAAGGAACTGTCACTGTGTAAGAACCAGGAATAGCTCATGTTCCACCAGATAAAGTTAGAACAAACCTTATAATACATGGAGCACTAGGCAGAGTGCTTAGTAGAATAGTGCCTCAATGGAGGGAAAAATTAGCCCTAGACTGAAGTCAGCTCTAAGACAACATGATAAAGTTTCAAAGTAAGCCTCAACATGATCAGACAGTTTCCAAATAACTTAATTGCATTTCAAAACAAAGCTCAACAATATTTAAGAAATATAAAAATATTCCTAGCACCCAACAGGGTGAAACTAATAATGGCTAGCATCCAGTCAGAAATTTCCAGGCATACTTCTACACAACATAGTATTGGAAGTCCTAGCCAAAGCAATTACACAAGAAAAAGAAATAAAAGGCATCCAAACTGAAAAAGAAAAAGTAAAATTATCTCTGTTCACAGATGACATGATCTTAAATGCAGAAAACTCTAAGGATTTTACAACAAACAACAACAACAAAACCTGTTAGAACTAATAAACAAATTCAGTGAAGTTAAAGGTATAAAATCAACACAAAACTCAGTTGTATTTCTATACACTAACAATGAACAATCATTAAAAAATTAGGAAAATAATTATATCTATAAGAACATTAAAAAGAATAAAATACTTACAAATAAACCTAACTAAGTAGGTGAAAGACTTGTATACTGAGAACGACAAAACATTGTTGAAAGTAATTAAAGAAAACACAAATAAATGGGAAGATATTCCATGTTCGTAGATTGGAAGACTTAATATTATTAAGATGTCAATACTATCCAAACCAATCTACAGATTTGATACAATTCTTCTTGAAATCCCAATTTTTTCACCGAAATAGAAAAAAAAAACCCTAAAATTCATGGAATCTCAAGAGACCCTGAATAACCAAAAAACTTTGAAAAAATTAAAAAGTTGGAGATGACACACTTCCTGATTTCAAAACATATTTCAAAGTTACAGTGATCAGAACAGTGTGATACTGGAATAAACACAGACATATCAACCACTGGAATAGAACAGAAAGCCCAAAAATAAGTTCTCACATGTACGGCCAGATGATCTTCAAGAAAGATCCTAACATCACTCAATGGAGAAAGGACAGTCTCTTCAATAAATGGTGAGAGGAAAATTAGATACCCACATGCAAAGGAAAAAAATTGGACCCTTATATAACACCATATACAAAAATTAACTTAAAATGGATTAAAGATCTAAATATAAGGCCAAAAACTATAAAACTCTTAGAAGAAAACATAGATAATTAGGTCCATGACATTGTATTTGACAATATTTCTTGGGTATGACACCAAAAGCACAGAAAACAAAAGCAAAAATAGATAAATGGAACTACCTAAAACTTAAAAACTTTTATTTATCAAAGAACACAATCAACAGAGTGAAAAGACAATCTGCAGAAGGCAAGAATATATTTCCAAATTATGTATCTCATAAGGAGTTAATATCTAAAATATATAAAGAACTCCTACAACTCAATAACAGAAGATCAAATAACCTGGTTAAGAAATAGGCAAAAGACTCAAATAGACATTTCTCCAAAGAAGACATACGAATGACCAGACAGGCATGGTGGCTCATGCCCATAATCCCAGCTCTTTGGGAAGCTGAGGCGGGCAGATCACTTGAGATCAGGAGTTCAAGACCCAGTCTGTCCAACAAGGTGAAACCCTGTCTCTACCAAAAAAATACAAAAATTAGCTAGGCATGGTGGCACATGCCTGTAAGTCCCAGCTGCTTTGGAGGCTGAGGTGAGAGAATTGCTTGAAATCGAGAGGTGCAGGTTGCAGTAAGCCAAGATTGTGCCACTGCACTTCAGCCTGGGTGACAGAGTGAGACCCCTGTCTCAAAAGAACAAAAAAACAAAAAACAAGATATAGAAATGACCAACAAGCATATGGAAAGATGGTCACCATCACTAATCATTACAGATATGCAAATAAAAATCACAATGAGATATTACCTCACACCCATTAGGATGGTTACCATCAAAAAAACAAAAAATAACAAATGTTAAGTGGGAAGCAGAAAAAGATTGGAATCCTTGTTCAGTATTGGTGGGATCATAAAATGGTGCCGCCACTATGGAAAATAGTATGACAGCTCTTTAAAAAAATTAAAAATGGAACTAACTACCATATGATTTGGCAATCCCACTTCTGGGTATGTATTCAAAACAATTTAAAGCAGTATCTCAAAGGGACATCTGTAAACCTATGTTCATAACAGCATTATTCACAACAACCAAAAGGTGGAAGCAACTCAAATGTCCATCAAATGATAAATGAATAAACAAAATGTGGTACATACATACAATGGAAATCTATGCAGCTTTAACAAGGAAGGAGATCCTGTCATGTACTGCAACATGGAAGAATTTTGAGGACATTACATTACATAAAATAAGCCAGTAACAAAAAGACAAATACTATATAATTCCACTTATATGAGTATCTAAAGTAGGTATATGCTTAAATGTGGAAGGTAACCAGTAGTGGTTACCAGGGATTGGAGGAGGCAGGACAAAAGAGAGCTGCTTTCTAATGGATATTGAGTTTCCATTCTGTAAGATTAAAAAGTTCTGGAGATCTGTTTCACAGCAATATAAATATACTTAACACAATTGAATTATACAATTAAAATGAGAAAAATGGCAAATTTTTATGAGACGTGTTTCTTACCACAATAAAAAAAATTATCAGGCATGTAAATAAGCAGAAAAGTACAACCCATAATGGTGAAAAAACATCAATAAATAGAAACAAAGCTTGTAACATAGATTAACCAACTTTAATAGATGAGCACACTTACGATAACTATATTCCATCTGTTCAAAAAGGTAGAAAAACAACGAGCATATTAAGAAGAGATATGAAAAATGTTAAAAAGACCCAAACTGAACTTCTAGAAATGAAAAATGCAGTGACTGTGATACAATAGACATGAACAAAGCTACACCAAAACACTTTTTTGTCATATTGCTTAAAATTAGTGATTAAAAGAAAAATTTTTTAAGTAGCTAGAAAATACACATTGCATACAAAGGAACAAAGTAGAGAATGGCAGTGAACTTCTTGCCTTAAAGGATGCAAGTCAGAAGACGGAAGAACGTCTCTTTTTTTTTTTTTTGAGACGGAGTCTCGCTGTCATCCAGGCTAGAGTGCAGTGGCACGATCTCGGCTCACTGCAAGCTCCGCCCCCCGAGTTCATGCCATTCTCCTGCCTCAGCCTCCTGGTTAGCTGGGACTACAGGCCCCTGCCACCACGCCTGGCTAATTTTTTTTTTTTTTTTTTTTTTTTGTATTTTTAGTAGAGACGGGGTTTCATCGTGTTCGCCAGGATGGTCTCTATCTCCTGACCTCGTGATCCGCCCACCTCAGCCTGCCAAAGTGCTGGGAGGAAGAACGTCCTTAAAGAACTGAAAAAAAAAGTCAGCCTAGAATATCATATCATATCATATCCAGCAAAATTATGTTTCAAAACTGAAGGCAAATATAAGTGTTTTCAGATATACAAAAACTGAAACAATTCATCACCTGCAGACCTGAATAATGCTTTACCTATTTTTAAAAATGAATTCATAATAAATATCCTCCCAGTTTTGAGATAAATGAGACATATTATCTACCTTCCACAAATGAACTAGCTAAGACTCTAGTTTGAGAGACAAACATGCATAAACACTTCCAATACATGAGAAATTTTTTATAAAACTTAGAACACAGGTAGAATCTTGAGAATATGGGCAATAAAAATAATAACTCCAACTGAGAGAAAGCTTTTTTTATTTAGCTACTACTAACCAAGATCACCCAAGCCTATCTGCATTTATCCCCATCTTTGGAAAGTTTAAAAGGCGAGAGTCCAGAGGAATTACTAGTAGATTTATGATTTTCAAAAAAGACAAATTTGGTTCAGAGCAGCTTTCTAATCTCAGAAACTTGTATCTTAAAGGAATTTAAAGGCCCTGCCTGATTCAGACCATCTGTATTTTCTTTAATATAAAAAAGAACATCTTACTTTCCTCTTTTTAGAGAAATCTTGTTGATTTCTATTAGTACAAAGTGTTCTAACCTTTTTAATCCTGTAGCTGGATCTCATTTATTGGCAACCTGCTATGATAAGTTTGAGGCTTCTCCAAACTTGATAAACTCAACATTAATGATTTCATCTAAATCACTGATTTTGAGCAGTACCAGACCCTGGACATATCACTGGAGAATGTAAAGAAATGTTTATTTCCTATTGGTGAACTGCACTCACACTCTGCTTGCTATCTGCAGAAAGTTAAACCCAAATCCCTACTTAAAATTAATGATTTTTGGAGTTCTAGTAACAAATGCAGGATATTCCTGTCATTAGAAAAAGTAGACAGATGAAATTCTCTCACAACTACCACAGAAGGAAAAAGTATAGTAAGAAGCATTTTAAATGATAAAAATGTGATGTAAAAATGTGTTAGGCCTGGGTGGTTGCACTGGGAATGTAAAGGAAAAGACTAAAGTGTGCAAAATTTAGAAGGCTTGAAGGCTGAGGCAGATGGATCACCTGAGGTCAGGAATTCAAGACCAGCCTGGCCAACATGGTGAAACCCCGTCTCTACTAAAAATACAAAAAATTAGTTGGGTGTGGTGGTGCACGCCTGTAGTCCCAGCTATTCAGGAGGCTGAGGCAGGAGAATCACTTGAACCGGGGAGGCGGAGGTTGCAGTGAGCTGAGATCACACGACTGCACTCCAGCCTGGGTGACAGAGTGAAACTCTGTCTCAAAAAAAAAAAAAAAAAAAAAAAGAAGGATGATTGAATTCTCAGAGTATGGTGACTCATTATCTATGGGTATCACTCATATACAGTTATCGAGGAGGATATGAAAGGAGCAGCATGCCTTCCATGTGGCCTCTCTGAAATGTGGTTTGTCATGGACAGGCTTACCGCAGGCCCTTGAAAGTACTAACAAATGGATGTGGAACATGGAACTGCAATACAACAACCGTTTTTTTAAGCGCTAATATAGAGAACTCATCAATACTGATGTAATGCCTCAAGTTTTAGAGTTCTGGGCTCCTCAGTTCCTGTGAGTGCATCCTTCTCTGGCCTTGGAACTGAATTCGCTCACTCTGTATTCTTAATCTTGTGTATCTCCTTTATACTTCCCGCCAGCTGGTTTAAAATAAAATAACCTAAACAACCTAGTAAGCATCATCAACCAGGCCAACTGGTCTTCAAACCCATAACAGCCTGTGTTCTGTCCCAGCTTACCAGGTCACCCCTTCTCCAATCACAGTGCATGCTATTAGACTAATAAATCTACCACTATTTACGTGACACTCCCTAGTCAATAATTAGCACTTCCCAACTTACAGAATTCAACCTAAAGCCTCTGCTTGTTAAACACCATACTCATTCAAAATTATTTCCCACTGGTTCCAGATAAAGATCCTTTACTCTATTCTGTACAGGTCCCTATCTGTAACTGTAATTTGGTCTTGCTCAGTCTTACCTCTGCTCCTGTAGTCATGCTCACCATCTTGAAGGCCTTTCCCTATTCCCATCCTTCCAGATCCAGTTTAACTTCCACCTTATTTAGAAAGACTTTCCCTGGCAACCAGAGTGTGATTGATATCTTGTCTCAAAAATGTCTACAATATTTGAAAATATTCATAATAAAAAAAAGAAAAGAATATTTTTAAAAATTTACCTTTATCTAAACCATGTAACTTGATCTTGTGTTCTTGCTCTTTCATATGTGTTACTCAGGTCTCACTAACTAGACCATACATTTCTTTTCTTGTTTTTTTTTTTTTTCTGGGACAGAGTTTTGCTCTTGATGCCTGGGCTGGAGTGCAATGGCGTGATCTCGGCTCACTGCAACCTCCACCTCCTGGATTCAAGCAATTCTCCTGCCTCAGCCTCCCAAGTAGCTGGGATTACAAGCACCACCACACCCAGGTAATTTTGTATTTTTAGTAGAGATGAGGTTTCACCATGTCGGTCGGGCTTTTCTCGAACTCTTGACCTCAACTGATCCACCCGCCTCAGCCTCCCAAAGTGCTGGGATTACAGGCATGAGTCACTGTGCCCGGCCTAGACCAAACACTTCTATATGTGTAACTATATGTCTTCCTTCTCTGTCTCCTATAATTCTAACCATAAAACCAAACCTCAGCAAATATATATTGGTTGATTGATTGATAGATTTATTATGTCACTTAAAATAATGATGTTCCAAATTGGTGAGAGGGAAATTTTGGCTTTGTAATGGAATGTGACTCCCTTGGATCATGTTTTATTTCAGAGTTTGCCACACCATTCTTGAACATTGCATTATGTCTACTGGAAATTGGTTTCTTGACTTTCTTTTTTTTTTTAATATCTTTTTTTTTATTATTATACTTTAAGTTTTAGGGTACATGTGCACAACATGCAGGTTAGTTACATATGTATACATGTGCCATGCTGGTGTGCTGCACCCATTAACTCGTCATTTAGCATTAGGTATATCTCCTAATGCTATCCCTCCCCCCTCCCCCCACCCCACAACAGTCCCCAGAGTGTGATGTTCCCCTTCCTGTGTCCATGTGTTCTCACTGTTCAATTCCCACCTATGAGTGAGAATATGCGGTGTTTGGTTTTTTGTTCTTGCAGTAGTTTACTGAGAATGATGATTTCCAATTTCATCCATGTCCCTACAAAGGACATGAACTCATCATTTTTTATGGCTGCATAGTATTCCATGGTGTATATGTGCCACATTTTCTTAATCCAGTCTATCATTGTTGGACATTTGGGTTGGTTCCAAGTCTTTGCTATTGTGAATAGTGCCGCAATAAACATACGTGTGCATGTGTCTTTGGTTTCTTGACTTTCTCTTTGTGACTTTCTCTCCTTACCATATTCATTCCTCTGAATATGACTTTTCTTTCCTAATATTTTGGCCCGTCACTTACATCCCAAGCATCCCTCATAAGTGAGACTAAAATACAATAGGTAAATAGTTTCATTATTATTAACAATGTTTAAAGGTTTAGCCATCAGTACAAAACTACAAAAGTGTGATTTCTAATAGTAGATTCTATATGCACTCCTTTATAATATTATAGATTTTATCTATTATGAGATCTTTTTCCAGTCCTCATAATGTCTTCAATAAGACTTGGACACTACAAAGGCAGACATTTTTCAGCTATCTCTTTTCTATTTTGTAGCACTTCATTATATTTTTCTGCTCCTAGTGGATTCTTTGCAAGTAGAAGTAAACTGCTAAAATATTTTGAACCACCAATATTCTAAGGACCATGGGTTTATCGTATAATTAAAACTTTTACTCTTGATCACTCTCCCTTCTATTTCTATCTCTTTCTCTCTTTCTCTCTCTCTCTCTCTCACTCCTTTCCTCCCCTCCTTCTTTTTTCTTTCTCTTTCTTTCTGGAATTTTAATTATAACTACCTCATCTCATTGTTTACTTATCACATAGTAAACTTTTTATTCCTTGGCTTGATTCTTGTTTCTTTCCTTTACTTAATTCAACTTAGATTCATTTTTTTAATTTTCTTCAAAAGTCTTTCACATTAAAGTGGAAAATGATTATAAGTATTGTGCAGCTGCAAGTATATTCAGAGATATATATGAGCATATTGACAACCAAGAGAAATATACAGCATATGCCCTCACTTGCAAGTTGCAATATCTGGTTGATTAGCTTAGAAAAGTTGTTCTCAATGTCTGTACACTTCAACAGTTATTATGCAAATTTTGCCCAAAGCAACATTTTCATATATATGCCCCTTCATTTATATGACAAACTTATATTTTGCATTTTTATTGCTCTTTAGGGTATAAGTCTTTACACAGTAAATACAAATTTTTCAAAACAGTAGCTGTACCAGGTTTACACTTGCTTTGGAAGAGCAGGGTCATCAAGGTTATACCAAATTGCTTGATGATCGATTATCCTAGACAGCATTTCCCAAAATCTTTATACAGTATGTCACAAGCAGGTCAAAGATCATGTCACTCTTCTGCTGAGATCTCCTTCTATAGATGCTCACTCTCACTCTGAATTATGTACCAGAAGAAGGCAGGAGGGTTTACAGAGGTTTCATGTAAGTCACAGGAAAAGTCTTAAGAATGCAGGCAACTAGATTGCAATTGTAATGTTCCCTACAAGCCTAGCAACATACAGCAAGTCAAAGGCAAACTAAGACATAAAATAATGGAATGGCAAATATTAAACAAGGTGGACCTCCTTGATTCAGCAAACTGATAAGTGCTTTCAAATTGACTCATTATTTAAAGAAAGCAAAACAGTTATTTTATCAAATGAGAAAATACTGCTAATACAAACTTTCCTTCATTTCTAAGAATTAATATTCTTTCTATGGTGCGCTATTTTACTGTGATATAGTATGCTCTCTCCCTCCTAACAATTTCATATGATTTAAAGCACTCTCATATCAAAGTTTATGCCTTGATGTTACATAAAGGGTTTTGAAATTGAAGTAAAAATAATAATTTGACATTTATTAATCTTATATCACTTCAAAGTTTTAAAAAGTGTCCTATTTTGAAACTATTTTGGTGAACTATTTTCAATATAGTTCTAATAGCAGCTATTTTGGTCATATACATTGGAAAAAAATTCCTTGAATTATTCCAGGTAACACTTCACATATACCTACTGAATCTCATATACCCCCGAAATACGAAGAATGCTTTGTTCACTTCTCAGTGACACTGCATCAAACAGGGCCAAAAATTGCTCCTTTATCTCATTTCGGGAGGAAGTAAGTTTATCTTACTTATGTTCCTAAATAATCAGCATAGTTTGTTCATAAAAATGTTTTAAAATTTTTAAATATATGTTCATATGGATTCTATTTTTCTATCAAAATGAAACATAGCATTAGAAAAACTTTTATTTTTACTTTATTATATTTTTATGCCAAAACTGAAAACACTAGATATTTTATAAAGATGTTAGTTTTGCCAGTACAGAAATAGTCGTTGTGCTTTCAAATTATGAGATTGTGTCATCCCTGACTTTTTAATTAAATTAAGTCTATAAAGCCATTTAAGTGTTTACTTATTTATGCATTATTAGTTTTCACTCTGTTCTTTTTAAAAAAGTTAAAACCACACTTCAAAAGATATAAGAAATAACTCATGTTATATATTTTATCTATAGTATTTCATATTACAATCAAAATTTAAATATGTATGTGTTTTCAAGAGTAAGGAATCTCATCTTCAAGTTACTATTAGAACAGTGGTTCTAAAGAAATTGATGCCCCTGCGGTATGCCCAAGGCTAATCAGCCTCCCCTAAGCTTTATACTACTGTGAGTCGACCTGCTAGTATTGACTAGACACTGTCCAGAACACTATACAGAGCCTGTACTGAGGTGGGTGGAGGGGTGCAGATACTGTAAAGTAGTCAGAAGCACAGACCTGAAGTGACTACCACCTTTTCTATCACTGCTCTACCGTTTGCCATACATATGATCTACAGCATGTTACCTAACCTCTCTAACATTCAGTGCCCTCAACCATCAGTGAGAGTTAATCATTGCACTTTCCTCTTAGGCTTATTGTAAAGATTTAATAAGATAATCCATGTGCCACACACTTGGTATAGTGCTTAGCACAAATTATAAATAGCCCAAGTAGGGAAGATGCTAATTAAACTAAAGATGAAGTCCAAAGTCCTTTGTGGCTGTAAAGTTCTGAAAGCTACTCACTTTTTTCTCTCAGGAAATATTAATTCTGTAGGCATAAAATGAGTAGTGCATACTGTCCTTAGTGCAGCATCTGAATATATACATGCAAATTAAAAGTGTAGTTGTAATCAAAACATGCTTTTCTCTATTGCTTTATGGAGAAATAGAGCTGACCCACTTCAATAATGTAGCAAGTGAAGAGAGAAAGAAAGTAGTCAAAATCTCAGCAGATTAATGGCAAGACTGCTCCCCTAGTAATCTAAAATTACTACACTGTTCTTTGGAGACGCACTATATAAATTCAAGTAAACAAATAATAACCCAAGAGTAGGAAACTTGTTTTATTCAAATATCATTTCTGTGGGAGGATTTGGCATTTTATTCTTTATACTTGGGAGTGAAGATAGTAATGGTAAATAATTGCAACTATTTATTGTGAAGTTACTATGTCTCAGGAACTATGTTAATCACTTGGCATACATTATCTAGCACATTTTTCATTAAAATCCTATGATGAAGGCTCAGAAAAACTAAGTAATTTTTTTTTAATTCGCAGTTATTAAAAGGTAGAACTGGGATTCAAATTCAGATGTGATGAATTCCAAAACCAGGCTCTTTCCACTATGCCACTTAACTCCCCGGTAATAACTGAACAACTTGCATCTGTCACATGACAAGATACTATCATGGCATTGAAGACCAAATGAGACAGGAGGTGGCATTGGGACTGCCAATGTTGTCAGTTCTGGACACATTTATGGAAGCTATTTTAAGACTTTTTTTTTTTCTTTCTTATGATGGAGAAAAAAATAACATCAAAGGGAAGATCTGTCTTCATTTACAAAACAGAAACAAGGGAAATTTAGCTAATACCAGAAAATTAGTCAACCTCATTCTTTCCACCCCAATTGTGAAGAGAGAAATGATTTTTAAATGAAACAGAAATTTTGTTTCCAAGCTTGACTTACTCTCTCAAGTTTCTAATATGTTTACAATATCAATTGTCTCCATCTATCTTGTCATTCCTGACCACATGTACTATAACAAATAATTTCCCTTCAAACAAAGTGCTCTAAAGCAAGAGTTACTAAAAAGACTCTGGTCATTTTTACTATTTACTGGCATTTGAGATAATAAAGTAGATAGATTCCTAGTCTGTGTCCAGTCTTCCTGTATCATTCACCACTTGCCTATATACTTCAGGATACACAGAACTAGGGTGCCTCATTGAAATTCAAAAATGTCAAAGCTTGTTTCAACTCATTTACAAATAACAC
This sequence comes from Homo sapiens, assembly GCF_000001405.40. Lineage (NCBI taxonomy): Eukaryota > Metazoa > Chordata > Mammalia > Primates > Hominidae > Homo > Homo sapiens. Next base: position 94,061,266 of record NC_000004.12, read on the forward strand.
AGTTATCATTCTGATCCAAAACAGGTAAGAAGTGCAGCTCAATTTACATTTCCTCTTACCACATGAGGGCCAGCCCACAGAATCTTCAGCTTATTCTTAATCTCCAAAGTGTCATTTACTTTGAAGTATCTTGGTTTCTAAAACTAAGTGGAATTGCAGCCTACAAACAGCAACCAAAATTTCATAACTTAATACAATTATTCCTGCATGTGTTTAGATGTCATCCTTTTAAACAATAAATTAAATATTTATGCAGTTATAGCTGATAAAAAATAAAGCTGTATTAATAAACATGTTAATGCCTATAGATAAAAATTATATCAAAGTTTATACAAGTAAATATCAAAATATTTGATTGCATTTGCCTTTCTATTTATTTGACACATATTTATTGAGCCTCTAATATGTGTCAGGCATTGAACTTGGCACTAAAGATACAGAAACGAACAAACCTGATGTTATCTCTGCCCTCCTATTGGCCTCTTCTCTGAATGATAAAGGAGAAAGGGTACTATAAGTAAATTCTTTTGTCATAATAAAAATGATGAAAAGAATGATAATCATAAACATGTGAACTTCTTGCCAGAAAACTGGAAATAAAAATCCAATGGGACTTCTTCATACACTAGTATTTGTACTCATACAGCAAGGTTTAATAGAATTTTTTTATTTTAGGGTAGAAGATATGTCAAATCAGTTTACATTTCTCAGCCAGTAATTATATTTTCTTACAAGTGGCTATTACATTTTTAGAGACAGACACAACAAATAATAAGAGGTTTTATTTGAAAGGAGAAACAAGCATGTGGGGTTTTTTTAGATGAAAGGGGTATAATAAATTTATGAGACCTCACATACAGCCATAATATAATAAATTAGAAGGATTAATAGAATTGTGAGCTACAGTAACCTGCACTAGTAGAATGCCTATTTTATGGAGCTCGATAATACAGTTTATCATTGACTCCACGGAATTCCCACAATATATTAGCTGTGGTGTAACAATAAAGTACACACAGTAAGGGGCATGTCCCTTTTGACACACATTCTCTTCCCACACTTATTTTACCAGGGAAACAACTCCAGTGCAGTTTAATTAAACTGCAGTGCAATGAATTAGTCCAGGTCTTAGCCCTCTGACAGAGAAGGGCCTGGCAGTACCACAGGGGTTTGTCCCCTTGTGACACCGAAGAAACATCAGAAAACCTGGGAAAAAAAAAGTGTAGGTTCCCTCAAATGACAGTGTCACTGGGCAAGCCTAGAGCTGTCAATCAGGTCATCTAAGGAAGCACTAACCCCTTTGGAGTTTTTACATTTTGCCATTTGTTGACTGTGCATCAATGTTTTGAGGAACATCTAAATGCCTTAGGAAAGCTCTGTTATATTTCAGTAGTTGGGGACAACACCATCCTTGCTCACTTTAAACAAAAATAGCCTTGCTATTTTAAAGTCCACTGTGTATTCATAGCTAGCTTTGGAAAGTCAATCCAGAAAGTAATAACTTGAAATAAACTTAGGATGGTGATGAGTTCAAACAATCTCTATTGGAAAGAACATAAAAATAAAAACATTTTGTTCAAAATAAAAATTATCCAGCTAAACATGGTCTAGAATATCCAACATGGAAGTGTATTACAGAAGAAATGTTATTTCCCCAGAGTTTCTGATCAACAATGCAGTAAGGTGATATCCCCACCCCACAATGACACAGAAAATCTTGCATTATTGATGAATATTCTTATTTTATCTGAATGCTGTTTATTAATTCATGAGAGTGTTTTGGAATTGAAAAATAAAAATTTACAAAACAATTACATTTTTAATAACTGCTTCTAGCCTTCATACATTGAATACTTAAGTGAACCAATACACAAAGACCTCAAAAGAATTTATTAGACAATGGCAATTAGATCTCTAATAACTCGGCTCCGCTGGAATTACTGAGCCCCATTTAAATGCCAGACATGGCACCTTAGTGATGGGTACACCATGTCGCCACCCTGCCTTTGGCTGGGGACCCTGAGAAATGACAGTCCCATTAGGTGTTGTGTAAACCAGCTGACCTCACACTCTCAGTACTTGATCTTTGCACTGCAAGTGACCATTTGTCCCTGTTGCCCAGAGATGGAACTCAGGTGATTCAGTGTAACCATTGCCTTTTCAAAAGGATAGAATAATCATTATAATTTTCTTCCTAGCGCAGATGTAAATTTGCTTAGAAAAAAATGGATAGGCAAATTAATAGCAAAAAATAGAAATTTTTATTCATAAGAAATACACTTTTAATCATTACAAAAATTATCTGGACCTGTAAATTCTGTCCAAAGGAGAGAAAGAAGATTTATCATTGCCTGAAAATTTTCTCCTATTGCAATCTTTTTTGTGAATAAGTAAAAGTATTTCTATATTAAATTAAAAGTGAATTAAAAGTATTTTTACTAGGGCAAACACATTAACAAAGCAACCATGGAAACTAACTCATAAAAAGTAATGTTTCTCTTTCCTTTTCAAACAATGCTTAGTTTTCTGTAAATTGAGGCTCACATAATATAAAAACACCCACCACAATATTTTTAAGCTATAGGGATAATATTATTTCCTCCTTTTTTTTTTGTATTTTAGAAATCCCAGAATTATGACTAGTTAGTTCAAAGAGACGAATTTTTTACATTTCCAGTCTTTTGAAGCCTTTTTCTGTTCAAGTGATTTCTATAAATCTCTGTGTTGATTTCATAATAGTAGCTATTACATATTAGTGATCATTATATGGAGGCACCATGCTCAGTGCTTTATAGAGTATATTTCATGGTTGTTTCATTTTTATTCTCACTAGACTCATGGAATTTTTTTATTATTATCATTTTATGAGTAAGCAAACTGAGGGTAAGTGAATTTAAATGATTTGCTCAAAGGCAACAGAGCTAATAGGTAGTAGAGCTCCGATTCAAACCGAGTGATTCTAATATAAAAACAAATGCTGTTAAGTTCTTAGCTACACCATATTTTAAAGTTAAAATTTTGTAGGTATTTTAGCACCAGCAAATATTTTCTTACCATATTTTCTTTGAAAAAAATCACCCAATTTTTTCAACAGGATTCTTAAGAGATTGAGTTTATCTCTTGTTTCTCTAGACCCATCCTATTATGTAGTGACAAGGCTAAAAAATTTTCCTTGTTGATGAAGCCACTTGTTTAGTCTGAACTCACTTCTCTTTAGAAATAAGGTTTTTCACATACATTGTGCTCTTGCCCCTTCCTTATGCACCTGGGCCTCCACAGGAAGGGAGAAGTAGAAAAATTTCTTTCCACTGGACATGCATCTCTAGCACCGAATAAAAAGTATTGCCTTCATTGTTGCTGGAAGAAATCTAACTCAAATTCAAAGTTTTGACAAGCTACCTATAACTAACTTCCTCCCCATCATTCCCTTCCACCTTCCAAAACAACCTTTGATTACACAAATTAGGATTCATTTACAGTGGGAATGTATTATTTAATCATTTTTTAATTTATTGGAATTATTATACAATATAAAGAACCATGTGTCGGTGAACTCAGCATCTTGGTTTTAATATCCATGGCCCTTGTTTTCCCCATTTTTTATATTCCCTTCTTTGCTCACTTTACAGTATTTATGAAACAGTGTTTTGTATCATTCCTTGAATTTTTTATTCTGAAATGCCAAGTATGTTAATGAAAAATAAAAATTTTGACAATGTCAAAGTTCTCATATATTTAGAACTGACATTCTGCTGATTTTGCTACTTAGTGACCTACACAAAAACTTTTTCTAAAATAAAACTTAAAAATATATTAAATGCTAAGAACAAATATAGCAGGAAGACAATATATAGCTGATGTCCAGTGAAAGAAAGAAAAACATTCAGGGGTCAAAGAGGAGCCAAAGCAGGCAGCTTACAAGATAACCTGAATCAGTCAGAGAAATGTGGGCAAGTTATATGACCTAGATAGAGGCCAGAGGCTAAGGTCTTAATTTCCATACAGAGACAAGAGATGTGGCCTTGACCTCATGCACCCTAAAGGGGTAGAAATGAGACCCTTTCATGAAGTTAAGATCCTAAACAGGCTGCCTCTTAGGGAGAGATAAGGACTCCATCCACCAGTTCAAAAGACACAAAAGGAAATTGTCTTTCCAAGAATACTTTCCAAGGTTTTTAAAATACAAAAATTTATTTGAAAAAGTAAAGATTCAGCCTGTGTTATTTTATGGCATACAAATCCCTAAGCCAGAAAGTTAGCACAAAAATTCATTCCCAACTATTCAATTTTTGAAATACATGGTAGAAGAAAATGTAGGACTACTCTGCATTAGTATATAGAGGTCTAAATTGACAATTATTTTCCTTCAGCACTATTATCTGGATTTAGACACACACACACACATACAGTCATCAATAAAGCTGATCTGATCTTCAAAAGCTGCAAATCAGAAGAGGAAATACTCCAAAATGAATGAACGATAATAAGCAATATAACAACAGGGTAATTAGAACCCAAAAGCTTCAGATAATAGGACAACATGAAAGAAACTATAAAATAGGTAAATTTTAAACTATTAAGGAGACAAAAACTATAAGGAAAGAACAGATATTATTTTTAAAATCAAGACAGAAAACTGAACTTCAGGAAAAAGAAAAATGTGAGGATTCAATATTCAAATTAAAAACATAAAGGATGAGTTAGATAGCAGAGTGGATGGAGCTCTAGGAGGTTTAGATTAAAGAATTGGAAGATAGTTCTGAGGAAATTATCCAGGAAAAATGTAGTGAGAGAAGTGAAGGGATGGGAAATTTGGAAGAGAAGAAGCATGGAAAATGAAAATGTCCAACATATAGAATATAGGAGCTCCAAAAGGAAATAATAGAAAGAATAGAGTAGAAACATATTCAGTGTGACAATGTTTGATAATTTTTATAATTGATGAATCATAAGAATCCTGGTTTGAAGTTTATTATTGTTATCTTCTCTTTGGAAGAGCCCAAGGCATACTAACAAACATAAATCTACTCCAAAACACCTTTTGCTGAAACTACAAAATACCAAGACTAGAAATAAAATATTAAAAACAATCAGAGTGAAAAGATAGGTTGCCTGCAAAGGAACAATAATTAGTCTCTCAATAGACTCATCATCAGTCAAAAATAGAGGTCAGAGAATAATGCTCAAGAAAAAACACTGTCAACCTAGAATTCTGTAACCAGTTAAAATACCATTCAAAGGCAAGATGAAAAAGTTACAGGAAACACAAAGAATAGGTTAAAAGATCCTATGAAGAAGTAATCAAACAAATCCAGTAAATGGATCATTTTCAAAACAACTGGTCTGATATCTTCAAGAACTCAATGTCATGAAAATAATAGAGGGAAGATCTTTTGCTGGATTTAAAAAATTTCTGATATATAACAAATAAACATAGTGTGTAGTTTTTGGTTGGATCCCGGTTTTAAAAAAGAGGTTAAAAAACTATTTTGGAACAATTTAAAATATGAATATATAGTGAATGTTAGTTGATATTAGAGAATTGTTGCTTATATTTTATAATAAAATTAGAACTATCCCAAGTTTATAGAGGCACATTGAACTGTTTTCATTTCGGGGTAAGGCAGCATGATAGCTGTACATTTATTTATTTCTTTATTTATTATGAGACAGTCTTGCACCGTCTCCCAGGCTGGAGTGCAGTGGTGTGATCTCAGCTCACTGCAACCTCTGTCTCCCAGGTTCAAGCCATTCTCCCGCCTCAGCCTCCCCAGTTGCTAGGTTACAGACATGTGCCATCATGCCCAGCTAATTTTTGTGGGGTTTTTTTGGTAGAGATGGGGTTTCACCACCCTAGCCAGGTTAGTCTCGAACTCCTGACCTCAGGTGACCCACCCGCCTCGGCCTCTCAAAGTGCTGGGATTACAGGCAGGACCCACCAGTGCCCGGCCTAGTTTTAAGTGTTTTAGTTAAAGGGCGTGTGTGTTTGCGTGTATAGAGAATGCAAGCATGGCAAAAAGTCAAGTAATTTGAGTCTATTATCTAGACTCAAATTGTTGTGAAAATCTAGACTCAACAGTCTGAATCTAGATAATACAACCACAGGTGTACATGGTTCTATTTTTTTCTACTCTTCTATATGTTTGAACATCCTCATAATAAAAAAAATTTAAGAGAAAGTGTGATTTAAAGATATTCTCATTCAAAGTCTGAGATAGCTTTTTGCCAGTTACAAACTGCACCAATAGATTTACTAATAAGTGAACTTTGGTAAGAAGGAAACTGAACTCAGGAAATAATGGAGAGCAAAGAAATTAGTAAATGTAAAATATCAGCAATGACAGTAATGACTACTAGAAGGTAGTAGGGAAAACAAAGATGGAAATAAAACATTCACTCAGAAGTTTGAGGCGTGATGCAAATAATGTATGCTAAAATTCTAAAAGTTTCTTACAAGAAATGTAAAGATGCTTATTAACTTAAAGATTTTTTAAACATGTATGAATATTTAAAAGTTGAGGTACTCATTAGAATAAAAAAAAACCTCAAAATAAAGGAGAAAAAAGGAAATAAAAAATATCCAATTATTCAAAAATCCAAAGCAGGAAGAGAGAAACAAGCAAGAAAAAAGTAAATGAAAAATTAAATATAAAATAGTATAAATTAGTAAAAATATTTCAGTTATGGTAATAAGTACAAATACACTTAAATAAGGAGCTAAAGAATTCTCGGATTGGATGTTTAAAACTAGATGCTATTTATGAAATAGGTAACAACTATCAAAAACATAACATTGAGTTTTCTAAAAGTTGCAAGAGAATAAAATAGTATAATACAATTTATATAAACTTTTTTCTTTCTTAGAAGGGAGACTCCAGGAGAGACACAAACTTTTAATACGCACATAAAAGCAACACTAACCACATAATATTATTCGGCGATCAAAAGGAACAAACTTCTGGCCATTTTTGAAAAGATAAAATTATAGATTAGCAGTTGCCAAGGCCTAGGGATAAAGGATAAAGGGTGAAGCTATAAAGAAGTAGCAAGAAGGAGATCTCTGTGATGATGGCATAGTTCTGCATCTTGATTGCTTGCACAAATCTACACATGTGATTAAAGTAACAGAACTATACACATATGTAATACCAATGCCATTTTCCCAGTTTTTATATTGTATTATAAGTATATAAGAAGTAACCAATAGAGGAAACTGGGTGAAAGGTATACAAGCTCTCTCTGTTCTATTCTTTTCAATTTCCTGTAGATTGTGAACCTATAATTATTTCAAAACAAATGTTTTTTTTAAATACTCCATGTTGCTTTAACTAAAGATGTATGTAGTGAAAGTATTAAAATGTCTTGGTATTGTTTGAATATTTCTGAAAGTTACATGTTTGATACTTAAAATTTACAAAATAATAACAGCAGTGATGCAGGAAATAGAAACTGTAAATAGCTTACAAACAAAAATGTTGGGCCCTGATATTGTGTCAAAAATTGCATGCATGTGCAAATTAAACACATATTTAGACATTCTCTTTGTTTTGTGATCATTCTTCATTCATTTCACTACAGTCTCAAACTCAGAGGGAATTGCGGTATTCCAGTTTAAGCAGAGAATACAGGCATTCCTGACTCAGCATGGTTCCCATACACATGAACTTCAGTTACCATGGATTAGTTAAATAACAACTGTCCCCCAACAACATGATTCAAATTTCAGTTACCACGGTATATTAAATGTGAGTAATTGCATAAAGTATAAACTTCGCTGCCAGCTCTTCAGTCCACAAATCACTACATAAATAACAGATGTGTACCATGATCAGTGAACAATCACATCACTTCTTTCAAAGTCCGTTGGTGATCGATCACTGAGCATTTGTTATTCAGGTCACACACAGTCATGTCGTGTCCTTGTCTCACGGCAACAAACAGGTGACTTTTTACAAAAATGGATAATCAAAAGAAGGAATTAGCCAACAAAGATGCAAGTGCTGGAATTATTTAAAAAACAAAACCATAAAGCTGGAAGTGAAATTAGAATCACACATAAATGGAGTTATAGAAAAATAGTCAATTGTGTGTGTAGACAGTTGCCACTAGAGAGACTCTAGCAAGAGGAACTTAGTGAAGGCAAACAAATGAGAAAAACGATTGTAGTGAAAAGGATGAAGATGTTCATATCCCAGAGGAAGTCACTCCAGCAAAAAGTTTCACATAAAAGGAATTCTCAGAGATAATTTACAACATCAAAAGTGAAGAGAATAAAATGTTGGAAGCTGAACCATCTACTTAAAAAAGGTGTTTGGAAATTTGCCAAGGCAACTGTAAGTTATGCAACAAGAGGACAAGCACTGGTCAACTACAAACACATGGGAAGCTTTTACAAACAAACAAAACACATTGATTCTCAGTATTTTTAATGTTTTAAGCTACAGTGCACAAAATATTAGTTTTACTTTTTTAATTTCCCTATACATGTATAACCATGTATATATATAACTTTATTCATCATAACCCTATATATACATATATAACCAATAGTAAGACAGTTTTTAATGTTTTGAGGAAAATAAAGACAGAACAATTTTCATTTTTACCATTATTAAAATCATTTTGCACAGTTATTTTTATTGTCCCCATACTCCTGTGTAAAACAAAGACTGCCTGTACACAAAGGGGAGAATCTAGTTGTGCAAAAATTGAGTAAGGACTCCCTTCTCCTTTTTAAAAATATATTTTCTTTCTGACTTGTGAGGAAAGTAACACAAATAGGTCCTACTTATGCTTCTATATTAACCCTTGATGGTGTAATTTGCCAGTCATATCCCCTTTTTAATGGTCCTTCAAATATTTTAAGGAATAGAGCCCTTACATCAAGCAAAACCTGAAGTGGAAGAATTTATTGGATTATACTTAAGGTTTCTGGTTTATGAAGCTAATTAATGAGCATTTTGATGAATTGATGACTATACATGAGAACTGTAGTCCATTTCTCATGTATAGTCATCAGTATTCATTTTTTCCCTGCATTTTATCTTCATTATTTAAAGCTATATAGGCACAGCTGCAAATGCTACCAGTTCAAGTTACCCTTGAAATCTGAGTACTCAATTAAGCTGAGATGGCTAGTCTACCTATTTGAGCACATGTATGAAACTTTTCATAATCATAATCATAATAAAACCTTCCCTGGCAGCTTTAATCCGTAATATGCACAAAATAGTTAACCTAGCAGCACAATTCACACATTATAGCTACTAGTGTTAAACAATTTATAGCATACATGAATTTGTGTCTCTTTTATAATTTGTAAGTAAGCTAAAAAATTTTGTTAAAAGAAAACATTCTAAGAACTGCTGAAGCATTGAGGAACTTTATGGAACAAAATTCAGAATTCATTATGCATACCTCTGATAAATGAAGTTGGTGTCAAAAGTAAATTTGTACATAATGGTAAAGAAGTATTCTTAATTTTTATTTCACTTGACACTTCTTTCACAAGCTTCAATTCCAGTATTGCAATGTTATGCATTTCTGATTGACTACATAATATCTAGCCATCAAGGAGAAACTGGTTTCACCTTGCTGTGAAAGAAATCACAGTTTGTTTTCAAATAGAGGATCTACATATAATTCATTATTAAACTATTTTTAAGTATATAATTTGAGATTCAATTATTAAAATTAAAGAAAATATTATAAAGAAGCTACGTTATAAGGGAAGTAAATTTGTGTAACTGTTCCAGAAGCAGTTTGACAGCATGAATCTAAGGTCTTTAAAATCTTCAGTCCAATGACCAATGTTAGCATGAGGCATTTATCCTGAGGAAAGAATCTGATATATGTAAAGACATGGACATATAAGGTTCATTGTTGTGAAATAATTCATAAAAATCAGTCACTACCTAAATTACCCAATATTAAGGAACTGTTTAACTAAGCCATGGCATTTATATACAACGGAATGGTATATTGATAAGAACAGATGTTCACAAAATATATATACAGTCTTATATAAAAACAGAATGATAAGTAGTATTAAACTTTAAGTGTATTTACCTGCAGGTGATGCAATAATGAATGATTTTTCTTTCTGCCTGTCTATATTTTATATTTTTCTGTAGAAAACTAGAACATATTGTGTTAAAATTGTGTTTAAAATAAGTAATAAATTGATTTGTTTGTTCATTTGTTTTTAATGAAAAAGAAAACTAAAGGAAATAGCAGTAACTCTATATAGGCAGAACCGAGCCCTGTTCTACATAATCTCCTTATCCACAGGAGATATGATTGGGGGTAAGGGGAAAGCAGGAAATTGTGAAGGTCAGTTTAAAGATGTGTGGTGATTCTAGTATGTCTTTAAAATACTGGCCAATTGTCATGGGAATGACATTTGAAAGGCAAGATGTAATATTATACTTTAGATGTTCAATAAACAATAAATAAATGAAGGTTTAATTCCAAAATGGGTAGGACTAAGACTGTTAGTATCAAACTCTTTTTTAAAGTGAGTAAAACAAAAAAAAAGAAAGAAAGAAAGAAAAAAAAAGTGAGTAAAACAGTAACAACAGAAATTAAAGATAATGTCACAAGGCTTGCCAAATTTTGAGTATTACAGAAGTACCAATTATAAAATATAAGCTTCCTAAAAAGCCAAAGAGCTGCTAATACTGGTTTTAATAAAAGTATAGGCTGGGTGCAGTGGCTCATGCCTGTAATCCCAGCATTCTGGGAGCCCGAAGTGGGCAGATCACCTGAGGTCAGGAGCTCAAGACCAGCCTGGCCAACATGGTGAAACCCCATCTCTACTAAAAACACAAAAATTAGCCGGGCATGGTGGCACACACCTGTATTCCCAGCTACATGGGAAGCTGAGGCAGGAGAATCGCTTGAATCCAAGAGACAGAGATAGCGCCACTGCTCTCCAGCCTGGGAGATAGAATGAGACTCCATCTCAAAAAAAAACAAACAAAAAAAAACAAATAAAAATTAAAAAGAAAATAAAAAATAAAAGTATAGATGGCCTCTCTCTCTTTTGTTGAGGGTGTGACAGTCATCTGTGTAACTCAAAGGACCATCCATTTAACTTAAAATTGATTCCAAATTTGCTCTTTATATATTGGTCCCAATATAATTTTAATGGCTCTTAATATCTAATTATAATAGCTGTAAATGCCATAACAGCACTTGAGGTGGTGTTATGACTTTTCCTCTTATTTGTTCATTTTCCATCTGAGGGAAAGATTGTGTGACCCAGGAATTTAAAAGCTGAAGATATCACTGTCCTTCCAACTCTGCCTTTTATAAGTCACTGGTGACTAAAAAAGAACAACTGATTTCCCTACATTCATCAGGGGATGAAATCAGAAAGACTAGATTAAGAGAATAAATATAATTTAAAAATTAATTGTTTTTTAAAGATTAATTTTATTAAAATGAAAAATAACTTTTCTGCTTATATATTTAACCAAACCATTATTGATAATTTCATTGGTAAATTAATACATTAATACATTTATATTGGGAGTGAATTTGTAGACAGAAGACAGATACATATACAGAGGCAGATGCTGTTTATTTATTTGATTTATACATTTTGATATTGAGGTGTGTATACAGAGA